>NC_000007.14:150822016-150973531 GCF_000001405.40 Homo sapiens | reverse complement strand
GGGGCTGTGAGACTAGACTCAAACCCTGAAGGCAGTGGATGGTTTCTAGGGGCTAGACACTGGGCCAAATGCTTTACTTCTCTTATCTCAGGCACTCTTCACAACCCAGGGAGGTAGACACTACTGTTGTCTTCATTTTGGGGGATGAAGAAACTGAAGTTCACACAGTCACACAGCTAGAAAATAGCAGTTGGGAACGGAGCCCACATCTGTCTGACCGGAGCCCTGTGCGCTCTGTTCTGTCTGTCATATATTGAAAATGACACCAGGTAGTTGCAGGTCTATCTGTATGCTGTACATTATCTCATGTGAAATTTTATTGTAAAAGTTTGCCAACCACAGGTGTACTGAAAAGAATATGAACCCATAAGTCCTGGGTTTGTGTCTAAGACAATGCTGGAAATTATACACTACTGGACAAGTTGGTTGACTTCCCTGGGCCTGTTTCTACTTCTGGGATAACGTGCCTTGCTTTGGACCTTCACAAGGGTGCTGAGCTTTCATAGAGAGTGCCTGCAACGGGCCGTGCTCTGTAAACACGGTGCCAGTCCCACTACGATGTAGCTGTGCTGGGGATTTGGCCTCTTGGCAGCAGCGGCTGAGGGCTCTTTCCTTTGGCTGTGGTATGTGTGGAGTGCTCTTAGGTGGAGCTGGCCCTCCCTCCCAGTCTAGGCTGGCCCCTTCTGGAGAGGATGGCTATGGGCCCCCTTCTGCAGAGGAGTTATTGTGGGATCACCTAATCCAACCCATTCGACTTGCAGGTGGAAGGACGGAGAAGCAGAGGTCTGATGACCAGTGAATCAGTGGAAGGAGTGGGATTAGAACCCAGATCCCCAGCCCAAGTTCAAACTTGTCCCCTCTCCAGGTTACAACTCCAAAAAATGGGGCTGTGACCCAGAAAACTCTGTGCCAGCAATCTCTGTCTGTCCCCTTCTTCACTCTCACCTAGTTTCCACGGGGCTCAGGTGTCTCCTGTTGGCCAACAGGCTGGCCTGGCACTCAGCCACCTAGGACCCCATGTATCCTGGCATTCTAGGCCTGGGGTGATGCAGACAGATTTCCTCAGCCTCCGCTTCTTCTGCCTTGAAACACTCAGTCCCTCCTGTGATCCCCGGGACCTGGCTTGGGCTGCGTGTGTGCGTGCCTGTGTGTGTACTCACACATGGGCCTGGTAGGGAGGCGGAGGTGAGGAATGCCTGCGCCACCCCTTGTTTCTGTCCAGGCCTTTCTCAGGGTCTCTGCCTGGGCCAGCCTCGGGTAGGGGGAGCTGGGCAGGAGGTGGAGCCTTCTGCTGGCAGGCGCCGCCGTGGACAGCTGTGCTGTGTTGGTGCCTCTAGCCTTGCTCTGCGCAGTGTCAGGGCCTGGAGCCAGACAGCCCCATTATTTAGTTGCTGGGACTGCTGGGAGGTGGGGAGGCTAGACTGGGGGAGTGTGGGCTGAAGGGAGAGACATGAGGTGCCTGGGGCTCACTGGCCCTGTGCCCCTTGAAGTCAGGCCCGGGATTCAGGTGGAATTGGGGGCAGAGTCCAGTGGTGTGAGGCTGGCTGGCGGTAACATCCCCGCAAGGCCCTGGGGAGGCACCCCGGGCAGCAGGTGCTGGCTGGGTCCACACCTGTGCTCCCACATCGCCATGGGGGCTGTGGCTCCTCCTCTGCCAGTCCTCACAGAGTCCCTTCTCTCTGTCCCCCTGCATCCTCTCTGCTCTTTGTTCCTGCCTCTGCTCCCTGCTTCCCTGCCACCGTGCTCAGCCAGCCTGACTGTGCCCACCTTCTCGGCTCCTCTCTCACTCCCCACATCTCCTTGCCTTTGTCTTCTGCCTGCCTGGCTTACTCTCTGTCCCTTGGTCTTTATCTCCTCTCTGGTGCCTCCTCCTGTCTTCTTCCCTCGCCTCAGCACCCCGGAACCTTGCTCCTTGCCTCTCTCCCTCTCTCCCATTGTCCCCCACCCCTCGGAGCCTCTATCTGGAAGGCTCTGTCTGGCTGCTCATACCTCTGACTGGCCTGGCCTGGCTCCATGTCCCTGTGTCCCCGGGAGCTTGTGCGTGGGTGGGGACGGTGGTGTCTCTGGAGAGGAGTCTATTAGCTTCTCCACTCCAGCTGCAGGCCAGTTGCCATGGTAACAGGGTCAGAGGGCCCCCCACTGCAACAGCTGATGCTGCGGCTGTTGGGAGGGGGTGGGGACCTGCTGTCCAGGCCTGCTCCCCAGTGCACTGTGCCCAGGGCCTCAGAGGTGGCCCCACGCCCAGTGGGCTTCGGTCTGTCCCCGGCCTTGGAACCCAGCCTCCCCAGTGCTCCTGCAGGCCTCAGACCTCAGACTGCCTTGAAATCCTTAGTACCTCCTGTGATCAGCCCCACTCCTCTGGGCCTCCTGCCCTTCTCCGTCCCCCAAGGCCGTCTGTCCTGTCTTCTTCCTTGCCTTCTTCATTTCTTCCTGTGCCCATTCCTTTAAATCAGACGCCCTGCTCTTGTCACCACCACGCCTCACCTTCTCCCTCATGGCTGACCCCTCCCCAGCTCAGACACCCACTTTCTGCTTCTTTTCAGCCCCCTGGGTCTGAGCTGAGGATGAAAGAAGCTTTTCCTTGAAGGGGAGCCTTGAGGCTGGGAAGGCAGGTGGGACAGGGATTGGTGTATAAGTGGGTTTTCTTGTCTTGAGATAGGAGGCAGACCAGAGCGATCCCAGAGGATGGGGCTTAGACACAGGAGAACTTTTCCTGTGGCACTGAAGCTATCAGGGGAGCGCCCTTCATCATGGGGACAGCGGTGTTCCTATCCTTCTGGTCAAGGCCTGGTGCAGCCTGGAGACAGGGCTGAGTGGGAGAATCTGCAGGGCTGCCAGGTGCGGGCGGGGGTCCATGGGGGCCCTGCTTCCGAGCCAGTTGCCTCTTGCCCTGCAGCACCTTCCCTCCACCTTTCCCTTCTCTAGCTGGATCAGAGGCCTGTTGGAGGGGCTCCACGGGGGTCATTCCTGAGCTGCGGCTGTCTGTCCTGGTCTGCCGGGGCTGCAGTCTTCCTATCCCAGTCCTGCTCCAGGGGTGAGGCAGGCATGACGCAACTGAAGGGTGCTATCTACTCCTTGACCCACCCTGGGGTCTGGAGAGCGTCGGGAGAGCGGCTTCTCCGTGTTGCGTCTTCTGCAGCCCCCGGAGAGGAGCTATGTAAATATTTGCGAAGAGCTGTCTGAGATGGGAGCAGAGTTTGATGGTGGCCTTGGGCTCTGGGGAGGGGGGCCATGGGGCAGCAGAAGGGCCAGCTTGGGGGTGTGTGAGGGGGGAGACTGGGCCTCTTTTCTCCCCAGAGGTGGCTTCCTGGGTGGGGTGATTTTGGAGGTTCCAAGAAAGCCCTTCACATGTTGGTATTTCCCTGAAGCGTTCCTGAAACTCCTCCCTTAGAGAACTTCTGCGTTTAGAGTGCTCCTTTTTCCTTAAAAACACGTTCTCTCTCATTGCCCCCTCCCAGTATAGAGACAGAAAGTATTTAGCCCTTTAGTGTGAGGGAGTTTAACAGAACTTCCCTCCCGACGTGGGCAGGAGGGCCATGGGAGTCAGGGTCAGTAGAAGAGGGAGGGGTGCTGGGACAGGTGATGAATGTGGGGTGCTCCCCTAAAGTCCCCTCCATGTCCTTAGTCTTGCCCATAAAGATCTCTATGCTGTGGCCTGTGGTTGGCCTCAGATAAACCCCTCTCCTTTTTGGGTGCTTATCCAGGATGAGAAACACCTTGGGAGCCAGGCAGCCTTGGTCCTCCGCCTCCTGCAGTACTGGAGGAGGTTCCCTGTCCCTCTCCCCGCCACCAGGCCTTGAGCTCCAGGTGGGTGGAGAGCAGCCCATCTGCTTTGTTCTCTGTTGTATCTGCGTGCTCAGTGCACAGCGAGAGCTCGGCACTGTTTGCTGAATGAATGAATGAATGGGGTGGGCAGTGTGCTGCGTTGCAGGAGCCTTCCCTGGGAGTCAGGTGACTTGGCAGGAGTTTCCAGCTTGGTTACAGACTTGCTGTGTCTGGGAGTCCTCTAGCCTTGCTTTGCGTGGACATTGTGGGGCACAGGAGCATCTGGGGGCTCCCAGCTTCACCCTCAGAGGTGGACCGAGGAGGATGGGGTGGGGGGACAGAGTCTTAGAGCTGCCACAGAGAGCACAGCTGAGGTGGGGGTGATGCCACCTGACCAGCAGCACAAGGCACTTCTATTGTTGTGACTGCACTTTGTAGTTTGCAAACTGGGGAACCATGCTTTACCGCAGGTGGTCCTCATGGCCCTGTGAAAGGCAGGATTCCTCTCCGTCACTTTATGGGAGGGAAGCTCTTGCTTAGAAAGGCTGAGGCACTTGCCCAAGTTTACCCAGCTGGCGGGTGGCCTGAGTGGGAACCCGAGCCTAGCTGTCCCCTCCCTGCCCAGCGTGGAATGCCACTGCACCAGCTCTCTTGCCCCCAGAGAGCCCTTCTGGGGCATGATGGGCTCAGGGCCTCAGGAAACTTGGATTTTAGCTGGGGTCTGCAAACCTCCATTCCTCGTTTGCTAAGTGGGATCATAGCGCCTGTCCCTGATGCACTTTGGGGTGTGAGGGTGTTCCTGGAATGAGATGACAGACACCCACAAAGCAGCGTGCGGTGCCAGAGCTCATTCTCCTCGCCATGAAGCAGGGCGTCACCTAAGTGGCTGCAGCTCCTAGCCCGTGCTGTTGCAATCGTGGGAAATGAGCCTGATCCGGGGCCTCAGCACCCCTGCTCCTATGGTGCACCCCGCCCCATCCTGCATGCTGCCTGCCTCTCCCCTTCCCTCCCTGCAGGCTGCTGCTGGCCCCGGGTCCTGCCTCTCCCCCAAATAATTGAAACCACAGCATTTGTGTTATTGCTTTTTCCTTTCTCTTTCATTTTTTTCCTTTTCCCTTTTATCTCACTCTCCAGTCTCATTACCCTCCCCATAGGCAACCGTTCAAATGTACTTACTGTGAATGTGTTGCTTGCATATGTTCTTGCAAATGTGTATTTTGTCTGGATATATGCATATAGATTTAATTTATGTAAATGATATTGTGCTATATGTTGTATTTTGGTGTTCGCTTTTCTTACTTGGGAATGTGCTTTAAGTCCAGCTGGGTTGCTGTTCGACATCTAGTCTGTAGGTGCGTATTCAGTGGCATGCGGCCGCCACGCTTCACCCACCCACTCTCCCGGGGAGGGACCCCACAATGTCTCCAACTCCCAGCCACTGTAAATGAGGCTGTAGTGAATATCCTTGGACATGGTCCCTTCTGGACTTGGGTGAGGATGTCTGTGGGATACACGCCCGGGAGTGGAATTGCTGGATCGCGGGACATGTGGACACTTAACTAAGTACTGCCATGCCTGTCATCACCCTCCTTCTCAGAGCTCGAGATTCCCATACCCGCATATCTTGGCCACTCTCGACATTATCTACCTTTCTAAATTTTGCCAATCTAATAGGTGACAGTGATTTCTTGTTGCTTTAATTTGCATTCCTTTGATTTCTGTTGAGTCTGAGCATCTCTTAGGCCTGGTAGCCTCTTGGGCTTACTTTCCCGTGAATTGCCTGCTCATGTCCTTTGCTCATTTTAATTTTGACGTCGCCGTCTTTTGTCCTTGTTGATTTGCAGGAGTTGCTTGTGTACTCTAGAGATACCAATGCATACTGTTAAACATTCAGTGTATTCCAGATTTTAATTCCTTGTTGAACTGGAAACAGATATTGCAAATATCTTCTCCCATTCAGTCTCTCTTCAATTTATCCAACAAAGATACTTAATTTTGATGCAAACAAATTCATTGATTTTTAGCTTTGTTTGTACTTTTGAAGTGTCTCAGGCTGCAGAGGGTCTCCATTTTCTTCTGTTCTCTTAATTGTTTTGCTGTTCTCAGTTAGGTCTATAATCTATCCTGAGACTACCCCGTATGTGGTGTCAAGTAGGGATCGAGTTTTATTTTTTCCATGTAATGTGCCAACTTTCCCAACGCATCTTGTAAACAGTCTGTTCTTTTCCGCTGAATTGTGGGGCAGCCTTTATCAGGTTAATCTCCCACATAGCCATGAGTCTGTCCCTGTGCTCTCTGTTCTGTTCCAAATATTTATTTACTGGCTCTTGCATTGATATAGCTTAACAAAAACCTATAGCCTTCCGTATGTCTTAGCGTCTGCTGAGGCAAATCCTCTCTCTTCATTCTGTTTTTTAAAGGCTGACATAGCTATTTGTGGATCTCCCTTGTTCTTCATAAACTTTATTTATTAATTAATTAATTTTTTCAGATGGAGTCTTACTCTGTTGCCCAGGCTGGAGTGCAGTGGCATGATCTCGGCTCACTGCAGCCTCTGCCTCTTGGGTTCAAGCGATTCTCCTGTCTCAGCCTCCCGAGTAGCTGGGATTACAGGTGTGCACCACCACATCCGGCTAATTTTTGTATTTTTAGTAGAGACGGGGTTTCTCCATGTTGGCCAGGATGGTCTCGAACTCCTGACCTCAGGTGATCCGCCCGCCTTGGCCTCCCAAAGTGCTGGATTACAGACATGAGCCACCGCGCCTGGCCTCCCTTTTTCTTCATAAACTTTAGAGAAAGTTTATTGAATTCTTGGAAAGAAAACACCCACTAGATTCTTGATTGGAATTAGTTTGGTTCTATAGATTAATTTGGGGAGAACTGACATCTTTATATTTGTCCCACTCAAGAGCCTGGATTGTCTCTCCATTTACCAGATGAGTTCTGTATTTCTTGCTAGTTTAAGGTTTTGTTCCCTTTTGCCCCGACTCCAACAGGGTTCTTGTGCCTTCTTGGTCAATTCCTGGACACTTAAGAGTTTTTGTTGCTATTGTAAAAGACGTATTGTTTTTGACTATGTTTCCTAATTGCTTGTGTAGAAAAATGCTTTATATTTTTGCGGGCTGATCTTGTATCTTGCAACCTTGCTGAACTCTCTGATCTAATTAGTTCTAATTGTTTATCTGTTGATTTCTTGGGGGTCTCTAGGCAAGTGACCCCGTCATCTGCAAATAATGCCAGTTTTCGCTGTTTATGTTTGGATCACCGTCACATGTTTTGATGCTCGAATGTTCCACCTGACTTTCTGGGGGCTTTTCATTAGCACTCGTATTTGTTTGTTGGTGCTTCACAGTGTCCTGTGTGTGTGTGTGTGTGGGGGGGGGGGAGGGGGCAAATCAATGAGGAATTATAACTCTTGGTTTAAGCTGTGACTCATGGCAGAGCTGGAATTGGGACAGGGCTTTATCAAAGCTTACCAGGCTGTCTGGGGTATGCTAGGAGCCAAGACAGAGCACAGACCTAGAAGCCTACAGGCCACTCACTAGAGGAGACCCCAGAGTGTCCCCTGGTGGACAGTGGCAGCTGTGTGCACCTTCACTGCCCTGTGGCAAGCTGTGTGTGGGGTCACAGTGAAGGGGGGCTGAAGGGGACTGAGGCTCAGAAGTCTCACACCTGGTGCAGTTCCTGCTTTTGCCGCCTTCCCTTGGGTTCCTGGGTGCTCAGCCTCTGTGTTCCATGAAAACTGATGACCAGGTTGAATTTTGCTTCATCAAAAGGCACCTTAATTCCCATGGTTGCTCCATCTGCTGTCCAGACTTGGGCTGGAGGGCACCACGGGCTTGAAATGGGCAAATTCTGCTGTGAAAGGGTGGGCTGTGCCCCTGGATCTGGAAGGGAGCTGAGAGGGTGGGGACATGGCCTGTCCCCACCTGTTATGACTGCAGATCACCACCCCTGAGTCCACCCTCAGTTCTTCTGCAACTGCCAGTCCTGCCCTGGCCTCAGGGCTCTGACTCGGATGGACGGGGAAGCCCGGCCAGTGTACAGTGGCCTTCTAGACGATGGGCATTGTTTGGACAAGTTCTCCAAGAGCAGCGTCCATGTGGGTCAGACGGAGCAGTCAAGGAAACCTTTCTAGAGGGGGTCCTAGAAGGCTGGGGAGGAGTTGGAGGGAAGAGGGGTGGGGGCCATGGGGAGCAGGAGGGAAGGGCTGAAGCTGGGGCGCAACTGCCCGGGACTCACGCGCCTGTGCAGGGAGCTGTGGAGAGCTGCTTCCTGGCATCAGCGTGCCCTTGTTTCACCTTCCCAGGCTTCTCAGCAGGAGGGCAGCGGGTGGGACTTCCAGTTCGTGCACCACCCGAGAGGCAGAGCCGGGCCCCAGAGCTTTAGAGAAGCTAGAGGACAGAGATCTTCTGAGGCATTGCTGTGGTCCGGGGCAGAGATGGCTCAGGCATGCCACATGCAGTGGATTTGGGTGGGTCTAGATGACTACAGCGGCCCCCAAGACCCTATAAATGATCCCATGGATTGCTGGCTGGGTCTCAGGCTGGAAGGGGTGGTGGAGGAGTCTGTCTGGAGATGCTGCTTCTGTGGGGTCAGGGTCTGAGCTTGGGGCCCCTCAACCTGCTGCATTTCCCAGATCCTGGAGGCAGGAGCTTAGGACTGGTCTCTCTCTCATTCAGCACACACACACACACGCGCGCACACACACACTCTCTCCCTGTCTCTGTCTCTCTCCCTCCTTCTCTCTCATTCACTGGTTGGCCTCTTGGGCTCCCTAACTCTGTCCCCTGGGCCTGCAATGTCCCTGGCCTTTCCTAGGCCCCTGGCTGCCCATGAGAGCTGTGTTAGTGACACGGTGGCCCCCTGCCAGGAGCGGCTCCTGCTGCATCTTCCTGTCGCCGCCACCAGGCTAAATATAACCTGACACTGCACAGCCCTGGGCTGCTGCTCCGGAGACAGCCTCTCTGCCTGGGGGCGGACAGGCCGACTGGAGCCCCAGCCTCCTGCCCTCAGCGTGACTTTGGGCCTGTCCTGGGCACAGCTCCTCCTGCTCCGAGCGAGGCAGGGAGGCGACTAGGGCGAGGATGGCTGCCTCCCTGAGGTCACCTTCCCTGCAGGGACCCAGCACCCCGCCTTGTTAGAATTCTGGATGCTTCCACAAAGCCATCTGTCATCTCATCTGGCACCCAGTGCAGGAATCACTTGTCCCCACAGTACCCGCAGGGAGCCTGAAGCCCAGGGAGGTGGGTGACCTGCCCATAGCCACAGAAAATAGAGGGAACGCAGGAGCCACCATGGCTGGGGTAGAGTGGCTCGGCTCCCTGGGGCTCCTCCACCTGTCTGGCTTGTTCCCTCTCCTTCCCTCTTGCCCATGCATCAAACTGGGGTCCTGTTGGATGGGTGGTTCACTGGGGGCAGGTGCCAGGCGTGTCTTGTTGGTCACGGTGGCTCAACACTTCGCAGGCACGGATGTGCTTAGTGATTTGCAGAGGACTGGGAGGAGCTGCCTGGGAAGAAGCTGTGATAGCACCTCATTTACGGAGGAGCGCACGGAGACTCTGACCCCAGAAGGTGCCTAAGGTCACTCAGGGCCATCTGCAGCCTCTTCCTCCCCACCTGGTGCTGACATGGGAGATAAGGCCTGCCCCTGCCACAGCCAAATGTGGCTCCTGCCTGGGGCCTGGCCTAGGCTAGCGGTGCCCAGAGGTGGGGAATTGGGTGGAGCCCCTGACCTCGGATGGGTTGGGATGCTGGGCAGGAACAGTGCCCCCCACCCCAGGTAGACTGCTGGGTGTGGATTGGCACCAAATGAAAGCAAGCCGGCGTTGTGTTCTGAGAAGTGATGGACACCTTCTGTGGTAGCAGGATGGCGCTGTACCTGCCACTCTGGGAATGTGTCCAGGCCTGGCTCTCCCGCTCTGCTCTGAGCTGCATGGCCTCTGGAGGCCTGCTAGGTGGCCAGCCTGCCTGCCTCACCCAGGCCATTGGGCCCAAAGGCACGGGGGTTCTAAGGAGCCATGGAGCCTGTGCAGGGATGGTTGCGTCCATGGGTGCCTCCCCTTTCAGAGGGCCCAGGAAGCAGAACTGGGCCAGGCAGGGAGAACCTTCTCACCCAAAGTAAGGTGTCTTCAGCCAGCGCTGGGGCTGAGGCTGGGGTGGGAGTGGGGTCGGGGCTGGGGCTGGGGTGGGAATGGGGCCAGGGCAGAGTGTTCTGGCATTAGCCACATGAGCCAGGCTGGCCCTGGGGCCTCTCATTGCTAAGCTCCCTCCACCCTTGTCTGCCTCTCTTCTGTCTCAAGCTTATGGTGACCTCAAGCCAGGCTCTGAGCTTCACATATCTTAGGCCATTTCACCCCTACGGCCCTAGGGGGTGGGCAGGATCACCCTGTGTTGCAGATGAGCGCCCCGGGGCTCTGGGCCGGTAAGTGACCGGCCCAAAGTCATTCTAATGCAATGTGCAGAGGCCACCTGACTCCACAGCCCATGCCCCCTCCCTTTGAGACTGGGAACCCTCTCCCCTGTTGCACCCCCTCCGCCCTCCTTGTCTGTCCTGGCTGCCCCCTGAGTGCGCCCAGTGCTGGCTGCCTCGGGAGTGTGGGCTGTGCCTGCCACGGAGTGGCTCTCAGCGGAACTGCAGCCTGCAGCAGCTGGGTCCTTCGTCTCTGCCCTGGGGAGCTGGGGCCACTGGCAGGAGCCAGGGCGAGTCGGTGGGAGAAGGGAGCAGAGCGAGGGCCTGGGGGTCTGGAGTAGGTGGCACTGGGGCAAGTGAAGGGACTCCCATCCCCCCATAACCCAGCCAGTGGTGGGATGGAGTCTGGCTGGGAGGCCTGGCTGAAGAGCTGGGAGCAGGTGATGTGGCAGTTCACCGAAGCCCCAGCCGACGCGGCAGGGTGGTTGCAGGCAGTGCCTCTGAGAGCCCAGGCCTATCTGGGGCCCCTACTTTCCTTCCTTCCACATCCCCTTGATGATCGCTAGATCTCCCCCGCCCCAGCCCCTGCCATCAGGCAGGGCTCCAGTTCACATTTTTTGAATAACCAGGCCTTTGACAGGGTTATTTTGAAAGGAAAAATTTCTTGAATCTCGACAAAGGAAGAGGGCCAGCAGTCACTCCTCTCTCTCTCTCTCTCTCTCTCTCTGTCT
This sequence comes from Homo sapiens, assembly GCF_000001405.40. Lineage (NCBI taxonomy): Eukaryota > Metazoa > Chordata > Mammalia > Primates > Hominidae > Homo > Homo sapiens. The sequence continues at coordinate 150,962,623 of NC_000007.14, read as the reverse complement.
CTCGTGTGTGTGTGTAAGTGTGAGTTACAGGCTTGTGCTGTGAGGTGGCGTATACCTAGAGTTTCTGCGACCCTGGCAGGGGATTTTGAGATGTGGGGTCCTGGACTGGGTGGGCTTCAGAATGCCATTCTGGGCTGTCTTGCTGAGCAGCTTGAGCTGAAGAGGGGACGGGCTGCTGAGGTCTCAAGGTTGGAATTTCTGGGGCCCTGTGTTGGGGACAGTCTCCAGCCCATTCTGAAGTTTGAGTCCATCTTGGCTCCAGACTCTAGACTTCTCTGAGGCAAGCTCCCTGGTGGAGGACTTAGGTTCGAGGGCCTGGCTGGCTGTGGTCCCTGGGGTGGGTGCTGGGGTCTCTTGGGCTAAGGCTTCCTGGTCTCCAGCCTCTCCTCAGTCCTGGTGAGGCGCATCCCTGTTCAGGCCGCTGCCGGCCATCACCATATTAGGGCATAAACTCCAGGCAGGCTGTCTGGGTGCCAAATGGTCTCCAGCTGGGCCCAGCCCCCTGCAGCTTCCAACACCACTGCTGTGTGTCAGAGGCCAGAGGTCAGGGGACAAGAGTGGCTGCTGCAGGGAGACCCAGACAGAGCCCCAGAGCTCAGGGCCCTCGGGCGGGGCTGTGAGGGTCTGGGATGTGGTGAGTGGAAGAGCTGTGGGGTGGGGCGGAGAGTTCCTGGCCAGCCCCTTCACCTAGTGCCATCCTGTTTAAGCTGGTTTCAGAAGACCTCGTTCCCCTAGATGAATCCCCAGCGGGTTAGAATCCCCGAGCCTGGCCAGCATCTGCCATGCATCAGGCCCTTCCCACCTGGCCTGCTCCCTGCCTCCCCAGCACGCAGCCCCTTGACCTCACTGTCAGGCTTCAAGCACCAGCTCCAAGTCCCAGGGGTGGCGTCGCCTCCAGGTTGCCGGTGTCTGTTGCCGGCTTCTACCTTGACTCACAGCACCACCACTGTCGCCCCTGCTGTGGGTTTGAGATCAGGAGTAGGGGTGAGCCAGGGAGGCTCTAGGAGGTAGAAAGGTGAGGAGAGGCTGGGTGCGGTGGCTCACACCTGTAATCCTTGCACTTTGGGAGGCCGAGGCAGGCAGATCACTTGAGGCCAGGAGTTTGAGACCAGCCTGGCCAACACAGTGAAAACCCTGTCTCTATCAAAATATACAAAAGTTAGCTGGGTGTGGTAGCATGCAGCTGTAGTCCCAGCTACTTGGGAGGCTGAGGCAGGAGAATCACTTGGACCTGGGAGGCAGAGGTTGCAGTGAGCCAAGATCATGCCGCTGCACTCCACCCTGGGTGACAGAGTGAAACCCTGTCTCAGAAAAAAAAAAAAAAAAAAAGTGAGGCTGGGTTGCTAAGATGGAGTGGGACTGCATGGTTTGTCACCCTTGCCTCTCCCCCATGCCTGCAGCCTCCCTGTCAGCATGGCCTGTCACTGACACCACCAGCCAGTGCTGGCCCCAGGGCGTATGACTCTAGGTGCTAGGCACTAACGTGGGGACGGGAGACACTGGGAGGCAGAGAAGACAGCTGAGCAGAGGGGGAGCTGAGAGGAAGGAAGAGGCTCCCTAGGGAGAGTGGGAGATGAGGAGCCTGCCTGGTGGGTCCCTGGGGGGCCATAGAGGAGCTGGAGCGGGCTGTTAACTGCCTTCTGGTTTCATTAAGGACTTCCTGTGGGCAGGAGGTTCTGAGCTGGGCCTTAGGTGGAACTGAGTGCTTGGCCTAAAAGGGGCTCCTTCAGAAATCAGCACGGGTTGGGGGGCGGGGGGCGGTGGGGCAGCAGGGGGCCCATGTGCTCAACAGGGAGCTGAGGGAGACCAGGGGTGCTTGGCTTAGGGGACTGACCTCATCTGGTACAGGGCCTTTGGTGGACAGAGAGAGACTGGAAAAGAAAAAGTCAAGGATCGAGGGGAACGCGAGGCGAGGTGAAGATGAAAGATCTAGAAGCAGTGCTTCTTAGACTCTTTGGTGAAGGATCAGTGTTTTTTAATGCTAATATGTTATAGGCTGGTACATCTGTGAAATACAAGAGCACATGCGTGGATTTTGTGGTGATGCCAAATTGCTGTAAAGTTTTTGAAATTCTTGCTCTCAACGTCTGTCCTTATCTTGTGTGCTGACACAACGGCTGGTGCTAATCTAGAGAGAACAGAGAGACAGATAGTAACAGCTAACCGTCTGTAGTGTGCGGCATACGCCAGGCATTGCCTAAGCGCTCAGCATGTGCTGACTTGGTTAATCTTTATAACTCATGAGAAAAGAATTATATACATTATGTGTATCACAACATCACTGTGTACCCCATAAATATGTACAATTATTGTGTCAATTAAAAAGTTAAAAAATTTTAAAAAGAAAAAATTATTATTCTTCCCATTTTATAGATGGAAAAAATGAGGCACAAGGATGTTAAATAATTTAGGAAAAAAGCATAAGTGATTAAGCAGCAGATCCGGGCTATGAACCCAGAGATCGTAGGCCTAAAGTCTGTGGGCTTAAGCACTGTGCTACAGCGCCTCGCTTGAGGGAAAGGCAGAGGTGCTGGGAGGATATGAGGAAATGAGATAGGGAGGAAATGAGATCAAAGATGGCAGAAGAAAGGATCATAGCCAGCGTGAGAAAAAGTGCAGCCGGGAAAGAGCTAGATAAATCATATAGGCAGAGAGAGGGGTAGGGGAGCCTGGCAGCAACAAGCTGGGGTAGACAGATTGAGGGGAGCCATAAGGGCGGCAGGCACATGGCCGGGTGGGGGATCAGGACGGGAGATCCCGGAGAGGAAGGGCCATACGGGGAGGCAGAAGTGGACGGGCCCACTTGGGTTCCAGGGTCCATCCTGCGTGGCTTTCTGCTCTGCCCACTGAGTGGGTGCCAAGGGGGCTATGTCCTCCCACTCTGCAGGGAGCTGCTTCCTATGTCTGGTGGATGTGGTGCCCGTGAAGAACGAGGATGGGGCTGTCATCATGTTCATCCTCAATTTCGAGGTGGTGATGGAGAAGGACATGGTGGGGTCCCCGGCTCATGACACCAACCACCGGGGCCCCCCCACCAGCTGGCTGGCCCCAGGTAAGTGTACTTGCTTTAGGGCAGGCTCAGGGGTTCGTGGTCTCATTTCTTTGGGGCTGTGAGCTGTCCAAGGTCAACGCTCTGCAGGAAGGGAGGATGTAATGGTTGGGTGGGGGGTCCCCCCTTTGGAGGTGGGAAGTGAACCCTGTACCCTGAGGATGTGGCTTGGTTCCCCTGGCCCAGGATGGACACATAGGGGTGGAATGACAGGGCCCAGAATCACAGGTCCTTGGCGTGGGCTAGCACCGTTTCCCTAGCTTCATCTGTTGGGCTTCCCATCCCAGCATCCCCTGGGAGCGGTCCTCTCTCCAGCCTGGCTTGAGCAGCCCAGGGTGGGGAACATGACCACCTGGGAGCAGCTCCTCCCCTCAGTAGGAAGCTGTGTCCTATGGACTCAGCTGTGTGTAGTTTCTTTCATCTGCTCCTTGTTCATGGACTGGCCAAGTTTCCTGGGGGTCTGGGCTAGCTGAGGAGAGGCTTTGAGGGAATGCCCACCTGGGCTGGACCATCCCCTTGACAACAAAGGCTCGGAGCCCCTTCCTCTGTCAGGATGCCCTCTTTGGCTTAATTTTAATCTTTCCCTCAGCATCATGACAAAAGTGCTCACCTCTTGGTTTCTTACACTCTAAAATGACAGTGTCAGTAAAACTGGCCCTACCTGCTCATCGGATGCCACCCCTGACGGCAGGGCCCCTGGCATTGTGTCGCCCACTTAGGCGCAGGCCCCACGCACTGGCTGTGTGACCTCCAGAGAGTGACATGACGCCTTTGTGTCCACACTTCCTCATGTCTAAAATGGGGACGCTGGCACCCAGCGGCCGGTGTGAGAGACAGGGATGATTTATGGAATCCGCCCTGAAGTGTCACTTCAGATATGGCGGTTTATGATGACTGGATTCTAGAATGATTTTTGAGACTCGAGGTCAAAATATTGTGAATGGAAGTGGGGATGGGGGGTTGCCCGTTCCCCTCCTTCCCTTACCCAGCGGCTGGGGGTCCATTTCCCAGGCCTTGCCCGCTCCGGGGCTGCTCGCGATCCCCACGACCACGTGCCTCTCCTCTCCCGCAGGCCGCGCCAAGACCTTCCGCCTGAAGCTGCCCGCGCTGCTGGCGCTGACGGCCCGGGAGTCGTCGGTGCGGTCGGGCGGCGCGGGCGGCGCGGGCGCCCCGGGGGCCGTGGTGGTGGACGTGGACCTGACGCCCGCGGCACCCAGCAGCGAGTCGCTGGCCCTGGACGAAGTGACAGCCATGGACAACCACGTGGCAGGGCTCGGGCCCGCGGAGGAGCGGCGTGCGCTGGTGGGTCCCGGCTCTCCGCCCCGCAGCGCGCCCGGCCAGCTCCCATCGCCCCGGGCGCACAGCCTCAACCCCGACGCCTCGGGCTCCAGCTGCAGCCTGGCCCGGACGCGCTCCCGAGAAAGCTGCGCCAGCGTGCGCCGCGCCTCGTCGGCCGACGACATCGAGGCCATGCGCGCCGGGGTGCTGCCCCCGCCACCGCGCCACGCCAGCACCGGTGAGGGCGCCGCGGGACCCGTTCCGCCCCAGCCCACGCTTCTTCTGCTGCCAGGCTTGCTGCATTCTGGGCCCTCGGCTTCTGACCTTTTCACTACGTCCTGGGTGCCTGGGAGATGGAAATCCCATTAAGCACTTATTTAATTCCATTAAGTGGCTTGTTGCGCTATTAAATGTCCATTCATCCCATTACATTCTTCCACTCCCAGAGCCCTGGTGGGCCCCTGGAGCTGGCTGTCCCGGGACGGCCTGGAGCAGGGATGCCCTGGGCAGGAGACGTGCCCAGCCTCCGAACACCACCTGGCCCCCTGCCTGCCAGCGTCCTGGAGCAGACCGTTTCCTCTTCCTCTTCCTGGTCTCAGGGCTGTCTCCTGGCTGCTTCCTTAGAGTGGGACAGGGGTCTGACCTCTCTTGTTTCTTGTGACTCCCCTGGTCTCTTGAGCTGACCCCATGGACTCCTGACTGTGCAGGGCCTGGTCTCCACTCTCGATCTATGGGTGGCCTGCCTGGCCTGGGGCCCTGGGCTGCTGGCCTGACCACGCTGCCTCTCCACCTAGGGGCCATGCACCCACTGCGCAGCGGCTTGCTCAACTCCACCTCGGACTCCGACCTCGTGCGCTACCGCACCATTAGCAAGATTCCCCAAATCACCCTCAACTTTGTGGACCTCAAGGGCGACCCCTTCTTGGCTTCGCCCACCAGTGACCGTGAGATCATAGCACCTAAGATAAAGGAGCGAACCCACAATGTCACTGAGAAGGTCACCCAGGTAGGCGCCCAGCGGCCGGGCTCTCCTCTCACCTTGGAGGAGCTTGGAGAGGGGGTGGGAGTGGGCTGTGATCCAGAGCCGGGTGGAGGGGGCTAGCCAGTGAGGGCCTCTTGGAGGGAGGCAGACCTGAGGGTTGGGGTTGGCAATCTATTCCAGAGCTGCGATGGGGGGAGAGGGGACAGTCTGAGAAGTCCTGGAGAGGGGACTGGAGAGGTCTGGTAAAGGGCTGGGAATGGCAGAGCGGAGGTCGGGTGGATGGGGTGCGTGCCTTCGGGGCACAGGGTGAGGACAGGGCAGTTGAGGCTGGGGACATGACAGGGCCAGTAGCAAGGGGGGAAGGCGGCCTGAGGGACATGAAAGGTCTGGCTGCAGGGTGTGTGAAGGAAGTACTAGGGGCCAAGCCAACTGGGAGGCTTCAAATGAGAAGGGGTCACAGAGGTCAAGGACAGGAGGGTCCTAATTCTTCCAGGCCAAGGTGATGTGCCAGGCAGAGGGTGGGCCTCAGTCCTGTGGGGATGGCCAGGATGGCCTCGAGGGGCCCAACTATGTCCCTAAAGCATGGGAGAAGCAAGTTTTCTTCTCATAGGGAGGTGGTGGGTACAAAGATATGGAAGGGTCAGGTCCCTGAATCCTGGGCCAGAGAAGACCCCTCAGCCTTGGGGGCATTAGCCAGCCTGGTCTTCTGTCCCCTCCTGGGTTTGGGGTCCTCCTGGCAGCAAGAGGACCTGCGACCCCTCCATGGCTTCATCCACCCGACACCTTATCCTAGCCTTTGGGGGCTGGGGGTGGGTGGGTCAGGAGTGCAGATCTCTGCAGTGAGTGAGAAGCCTGGGATAATGTGGAGGACTCCTGTCCCAAGCTGTTCCCTCCTGCCCCTTCCACAGCAGCTGCCTGGGTTGGCTCATGTAAGGGAGCTGCCCTGCTACCTCGGCGGGCTCCTGGCCCTGCTCCCACCGCCTGGCTTTCTGGGTCCCTGCCAGGTCTCCAGCCCACTGGCCTTGACTCCAGAGCATTCCCCCTCACCCCAGGCCCTTATCTGGCCACCTACCCCTCTCTTCCTCCTCCCTTGCTTCTCTCTTGGTTCCCACCTGAGCCCCTGGCATCTGCCCTGCTCCTGTGCCCGCTGCATGTGCCCGTGAGTTGCGGTGGGTCTGTGCATGTGCGCCTGTATGTGTCGGCAGGCGTGTGTGTTCCTGCCAGTCACTAGCAGTCTCTCCATCTCTGGGTGTCTCTGTCTGACTCTGGCTGGCTCAGCACTGGACCGGCTGGGCGGGGGTGTCAGGGAGACCATTAATCTGCGGTGACAGGCCCGGCTGCTGGCGGAGGGGGAGGGGCTCAGGCTGCGGGAGCGCCGCTGCAGGAGCCTGGGCGGGCTGCGGGGGAGGGGGCCGCTGGCTGGGCACCGGCGGGGCGGGGGAGCCTAGTGTGGCGGGGTGGGGGTGGGGACCTGGTAGAAGGAGGGGCCGGCTGGAGGAGCTGAGGTTCCGAGTGCGGCCGCTGCTGGGCTGGCGGGCGGGCAGAGCACGGCACCCTGGCAGCAGGGCCCACGCCACGGGGCCATGGGCAGCTCGAGCCAGGCAGGCTGCTGCCCACGCTTACTGCCAGGGTGACCCCAGCCCTGGGGCCCAGCCACAACCACCCTGGCTTCATGCCAGGGGCTGCTCTGGTTGCCAGTCGGCCAGCCTCGGGGGTGCAGCCTGGGCTGGGACTGCTGCTGGGGTGCAGGTGAGGCAGTGGCCGGGCCCTCAGGCCCCAGGGCAGGCAGGCTGCAGGGAGCCAAGTCCTCCATGGCGGCCCCAGCCGGGAAGGCGAGCAGGACAGGGGCTCTGCGGCCCAGGGCCCAGAAAGGCCGGGTGAGGCGGGCCGTGCGCATCTCCAGCCTCGTGGCCCAGGAGGTAGGTGACACCCGGTCCTTCCTCTTCTTTCTGGGGCCGGCACACTGAGGCAGGTGGCTGGCCCAAGGGCTCTGACTCCAGGCTGGGGAGAGGGCTGCTGGGAAGTAGGAAGCTTTGGGAGCCGTGGGGCCTGGCCCTGCTCACCCGCGCCTGGCTCCTGTTCTCATTCCCTCCCAGGCTGGGCTTACAGAGTTTCCGTTGCTGGGACTTCCCCGCTCCTGTGCCTGCCATGGCCCACAGTCCTGGAGCTCAAAATGCAAAGTGGGGAGATGACAGGAATGAGATGGGTGCCCAGAGAGATGGTGGGGAGGCGGAGTGGGACAAAGGAGCCCATGGGCAGGACCAGGAGAAGCCGGCAGGCGACAGCTGGGCCTGGCATGGAGGCGCCGGGGCTCCTTTGCTCTGTGTGCTGGGGTTGGACCCTGTGGGCAAAGGAGGCTTGTGCTGTTTTGGGGGGTCGAGGAGGCTGGAATGTGCGGAAGCCACTGTGTGGGTGGTGAGGGCGCGCTGGGCTGAGGCACCTGGCTCATCTCTTCATGGGCAGCCGAGGTGTGGTGGCTGGGCCATGCACTACTCTGTGACCTCCTGGGAGCCATCCAGCCGCTCTTCTGTCAGCCTGGGGCAGGCTTGGGCCGACAGTGGAGGAGGAGTGGGAGGTGGCTCAGGGCTAAGTCTGGGAATCCCATCCCTGCCCCCACCACCCCACATCTGCACATTCTGCCTTGGCTCATACACTCTTTCCAGCTGGGGGACAGGTACAGGTAGGTCTTCCCACCCACAGCTGAGGAGTCAGGGTTTGGCTTAAGCAAGCCAGCTTCAGTATTCTATAGGACAACAGGCTGGGGGGACAGACCTGGCCCAAGGCCATAGGTGAGCTGGTGGCTGCAGAGCTGGGACTGGCCCCTGTCAGGTGTGCCCCATGCACGTGTGAGTTTGTACCCTGGGGCAGTGTTGCTCATGCTGTGTGCAGACTCAGGGGTAGGGTCACTGCTGTTAGGGGTGGTCCTGACACCTCCGCCCAGAGGCTTGACCTCTCAGGCACAGAGAAGAGCCCTGTCCAGGGGCAGCTACCTTCTTCTGCCCCCTTATCAGCAGGGGCCTGGCCAGTGTTTTCTTTTTTTTTTTTCAGTCCCCACTTGATCACTGAAGGGCCACCCACCCATGGGCATTTGCTCTCTGCCTTAAGGAGCTGGGCACTTAGACAGCAGACAGAGCAGAAATGGAGCCTGTGAGCCTGTCCATGTGTTCCCTCCCTGCCCTAGGCCTCAGCTGCTCCCGCAGCCCATCTGGTACCGCTGGAGGCCCTGTGTCCACCCCAGGGTGGTCAAATCTTTGACTATGACCCGTCTTGACTTCTAGTTATTTCCTCTAAGGAGATGTTCTCCCAGCAGCGCCATCTGTGAAGGTGTCTTGGGCAAGCCCAGCTTGAGTATGAAGGGGAGTCTTTGGGACTCATCAACTATGGCCTCCCCAACCCAAAAGCCTGAGGGTGTGGGGGCCTGGGAGTCAGTGCTTCTGGGAGCAGGGCCAGCACCTCTGGAATTCATGGGGGCTGGGCAAGGCCTTGGGTTCAGCTGGCTGCCCAGGGATGGCAGGGAGAGCTTGGGGAGGGGGCTTTTGGGTTGAGCTGCATGCCTGAGAGAGGATTCTAGGGAGACCCAGAAGCTTCTGGGACAGTGTGGAGAAGCTGGCCGGAGCTCTTCTTAGTTTGCCTTGGGAGCAAGAGGGACGTGCCTGCTGTCACCGGGTCCGGATGGCCAGCCTGCCTCTGTCTGATGACTGTGGAGGAGGCAGAGTGTGAGTGTGAGCTGGTACAGGGGCTGTGTGTGTCACTGCTGAGCAGTCCCTGTGTGCACGTCCCTCTGTATAAGTTGGGTGCCATCTCCTCCCAGCTGGGCTATGTCTTCTTTGTCCCTTTGTAAGAGGGTGGGAGGATGAGGACTGTGGGCTGTCCCGGACCTGTGTGGAGAGGGGGCTGAGGGAGCGAGGTGTGCGAGTGGAGGGTGGGAGTGTCTTGGTCTTTCTCCATCCTGGTTGCCTGGTGTCCTCGGGCCTGTGGCATGAAGAGGGGCTGGTAAGAACTGCAGTGACTACCAGTCAGTGGATTGGGGCTATGGCTCCTGGGGCCACTGCCCAGGTTGGGAGCTGTTGTCCTTGGAACCCTTTCCGGTCTGAGACTATGGCGTGTGTGGTTGGGTGTGTGGGCCAGCGTCTCAGGGCAGTCACAGTGGCAGGTCTGCATCTGCATTGCCGGCGGGGAGCAGCACTGGGTGTTCCTGCCGAGTGGCCTGAATCCACGTCTGCCGGGAAATGTTGGAACTGTTTGGAGCCAGTCCTGTGCTGTGTGGCATTTTGGGAACCATGATGCCCAAACCTGGGGGTGGCCATTTGCTGTGGTCGCTTGGCTGAGGGGTGGGCATTCTGATGGAAGCTTTTTTTGGCCTCCTCCTCATTCTGCTTGGCCCCGGCAGAGATGTCATCGCTCCTGCCCCCGAGGTCCCATGGCCTGCCTCACCCACACCTCCGCCTTCCCCGGGTGCAGGTCCTGTCCCTGGGCGCCGACGTGCTGCCTGAGTACAAGCTGCAGGCACCGCGCATCCACCGCTGGACCATCCTGCATTACAGCCCCTTCAAGGCCGTGTGGGACTGGCTCATCCTGCTGCTGGTCATCTACACGGCTGTCTTCACACCCTACTCGGCTGCCTTCCTGCTGAAGGAGACGGAAGAAGGCCCGCCTGCTACCGAGTGTGGCTACGCCTGCCAGCCGCTGGCTGTGGTGGACCTCATCGTGGACATCATGTTCATTGTGGACATCCTCATCAACTTCCGCACCACCTACGTCAATGCCAACGAGGAGGTGGTCAGCCACCCCGGCCGCATCGCCGTCCACTACTTCAAGGGCTGGTTCCTCATCGACATGGTGGCCGCCATCCCCTTCGACCTGCTCATCTTCGGCTCTGGCTCTGAGGAGGTGGGGTCAGCAAGGAGGCAGGTGGTGTAGGGAGAGGAGAGGCCAGGAATGTGGTGGGAGGTAGTGGGGTGGAGGGGGTGGCGAGGAGGACAGAGAAAAAGAGAGAGAGAGAGAAAGAGAGAAAGACAGTGGGAGAGAGACATGGTGGCAAGGCAGCTGCAGAGGCAAGGTGGGTACCCCAGCAAACCTATGCTCCTTCTCTCCACACAAGCTCCTCGCAGGTTGCAGAGGGCCACACAGGACACCTTTTTTTCTAATTCGTCCATCCCAAGGGGCCATTATTTTGTAGCGTCACCAAAGTGCCCTAGAAGCTGGTGGGAGTGGGCAGGCACCCTAGGGTGATCACTGCACCTGTCAGTGCCCCTGTTTCCTCATCCACACTATGGGGGCTGCCTCTGTCCCAAAGCTAGCACTAAGATTAATGAGACACCTGTGCTGGGCCCAGTGTGGGCTTCACCTCTTAGGAGGAGGGTCTAGGAAGTCTTTGGGGATCTGACCTCTGATGCTCGCTCTGAGGGCCGCAGCACCTCCCCTCCTCCCTTGCCCCCCTTGCCCCATCAACGGAATGTGCCCCTTCCCTGTCCCCCAGCTGATCGGGCTGCTGAAGACTGCGCGGCTGCTGCGGCTGGTGCGCGTGGCGCGGAAGCTGGATCGCTACTCAGAGTACGGCGCGGCCGTGCTGTTCTTGCTCATGTGCACCTTTGCGCTCATCGCGCACTGGCTAGCCTGCATCTGGTACGCCATCGGCAACATGGAGCAGCCACACATGGACTCACGCATCGGCTGGCTGCACAACCTGGGCGACCAGATAGGCAAACCCTACAACAGCAGCGGCCTGGGCGGCCCCTCCATCAAGGACAAGTATGTGACGGCGCTCTACTTCACCTTCAGCAGCCTCACCAGTGTGGGCTTCGGCAACGTCTCTCCCAACACCAACTCAGAGAAGATCTTCTCCATCTGCGTCATGCTCATTGGCTGTGAGTGTGCCCAGGGGCGGGCGGCGGGGAGAGCCCACGGTGGAGGAACCCAAGTTGGAGGAAACTGAGGCTGCTAGCCGGGCCAGAGTGAGGCCCTGGAACTTAGAGACTCCAGGGGCCACCATCGTGACATGGTTTGGGGGCTGGGTCACCAGGGCGGGGACTACTGAAGGGTGGGGTGTGCTGGAGCGCAGATGTACAAGGGCGTCTCGTGGGCATGTCGACGCTGAGACTGAGACACTGACCTGGTGCGGGGCCTGAGCAGGGTCCCTGTGGGTGGGTGGGGTCCCTGCAGAGGCTGACGGCCCCACGTGCCCACGCCCCCAGCCCTCATGTATGCTAGCATCTTCGGCAACGTGTCGGCCATCATCCAGCGGCTGTACTCGGGCACAGCCCGCTACCACACACAGATGCTGCGGGTGCGGGAGTTCATCCGCTTCCACCAGATCCCCAATCCCCTGCGCCAGCGCCTCGAGGAGTACTTCCAGCACGCCTGGTCCTACACCAACGGCATCGACATGAACGCGGTGAGGCCACCAGAGCGTGGCCAGTGGGTGGCAGGCTGGGAAGAGTGGGGTGGCAGAGGGGAACCTCTTGGCACAGCAAACAAGTCTCAGGCGGTCACAGTCAGTAGTAAGGACCCTGGAGGCACGTTGCCCCTTTTTGCCCATGAGGAAATGGAAGCCCTTGGAACCCCTTCCCTGGAGAGCTCCCCTTTTGGGGTGGGAGGTATATGTCACATAGGCGATGGGGTTAAATCCTTGTGACAGCCCAGGGCGGGAATGGTCTCTATGCCTTACAAATAAGAACATGGAGGTCTAGAGCCCAAGGGTGCTCGGCCAGGCATGGTGAAGCTGGAGTGGGGTCCCAGGTCCTTCCCAAGACACTGGGCCCCCTGATGCTTCCGAGATCTCCCAGGCCTGGAGGTTGAGATTTCTCTGACATGGAGGGGTGGGATGGTGGAGTAGAGTGTGGGTTGGGGGGTCCCAAGGGAGGGTGTGCTGAGCTGCCCCCACCCTGCCCCCAGGTGCTGAAGGGCTTCCCTGAGTGCCTGCAGGCTGACATCTGCCTGCACCTGAACCGCTCACTGCTGCAGCACTGCAAACCCTTCCGAGGGGCCACCAAGGGCTGCCTTCGGGCCCTGGCCATGAAGTTCAAGACCACACATGCACCGCCAGGGGACACACTGGTGCATGCTGGGGACCTGCTCACCGCCCTGTACTTCATCTCCCGGGGCTCCATCGAGATCCTGCGGGGCGACGTCGTCGTGGCCATCCTGGGTATGGGGTGGGGGGCGGGCACTGGACTGGAAATGCCCTCTGCAGCCTCAAGAGGTGCGAGCCTTCTGAATATGCAGTCACTGGGGCTGTGGACCTGGGACTGCCTGCAGGGTCACTGGGCTCCTTTAATTCACCTAAACTCAGGCCCTCCAAGCGGGGCCATGGAGAGGAGCCCCACGTGGGGTGAGGCTGCTGAACTCTGGGGTTCCCACATTCTCCTTCCCTTCAGGATCCGCCACAAACAGACACTTTTTGCTTCCTTAAAGTAGGATCAAATCTAGATCCTCTAGCCTGGGCAGTAGAGGAAGAAATGCTAGCCTGGAAGCTCGGCATTTGGTTTCACTAAGGGCCATGTGGTTCCCTGCAGCCTCATGCCTGGCCCCTTGACACATCCAAAGCAAAGGGAGTCCTGCCCCCTCCCCCCACTTCCTTTCTACCCTGCCTGTGCACAGTGGGTGGGTTGGTGTGTCTGGACACTGAGGACTTCCTCCCCCTTTGCCTGTCCTTCCCTCGGCCCTGTGTGCCTCAGGGCAGATATAGCAAGCTCTTTCGACCATAGTTGATGGTAGGACATTTTAGACTTTGTTTCTCAGCTCTGTACAAACACAAATACACACCCCCACAAAACTAAAATCAAAGTTTCACTACATAACACTGGGCCTTACTGCATGTGGTTCATTCTAGCATTTCTGTTCTGTGCTGTGCTAAGCTATACTACTGTATGTTCTTTCAGTAAAAAAAAAAAAAAAAAAAAAAAAATGCTGGTTTTGATTCACTACTGTGTTCTGATCTTTGGTTTGAAGAACATTGCTTATAAGGGTGCAGTGATTGGCTAAGAGGGTGTTTGGGACCTGGGGTTTGGGGTAGTCCTGCTGGCTGGGTCTCATTTGCTGGGAGACCCTGGGCTCCTGGCCCCTCTGGCACTGTCGTGCCTGCTGGGAGCTGAGGGAGGGTGGGCTGGCAGATTGCTTCCCCGGTTGTGTGGGTTGGGGGCCGGCTGGCAGGCGACCCAGCTGAGGGGACATGCTCTGCCCGGGGTGGGGATGCCGGGAGAAGGTGCCTGCTGCCTGGATGCCGCCCCCCGGGGCTGAGCTCCCTGTCCTCTCCATGGCCTCCAGGGAAGAATGACATCTTTGGGGAGCCTCTGAACCTGTATGCAAGGCCTGGCAAGTCGAACGGGGATGTGCGGGCCCTCACCTACTGTGACCTACACAAGATCCATCGGGACGACCTGCTGGAGGTGCTGGACATGTACCCTGAGTTCTCCGACCACTTCTGGTCCAGCCTGGAGATCACCTTCAACCTGCGAGATGTGAGTTGGCTGCCCTGAGCTGGACCCCATCCTCCTGCTTCCAGCTGTGTGGCTGCCCCTTTGCTGTGTGACATTGAATGTGATGCTTCTCTGTCTCAGTTTCCCTGTCTGTCAAATGGTATCATAGAGCAGCCTACAAAAGTCCCAAACTCAGTCTTTGCCTGGGGCAAAATCACATTGGGGGCAGGGAAGGGTTTTCCCAGAGCTGGGGCGCCCAGCCCTACTTTTTCTGTGTTAAGGAGGGAGCTTGGGGCCTGACCCCGGTGGGGCAGGAGAGCACTGAAAGGGCCCTGATACTGATTTTGGTTCCAGACCAACATGATCCCGGGCTCCCCCGGCAGTACGGAGTTAGAGGGTGGCTTCAGTCGGCAACGCAAGCGCAAGTTGTCCTTCCGCAGGCGCACGGACAAGGGTGAGGCGGGGGAGGGGAGGAAGGGGGAGGGCGGGGACAAGGTGAGGCTGGGAGCTGGAAGGCGGGGTGGGCCGTGTCTGCTTTACCCAGGCCTCAGACCTTCCCATCCCTTCCTCCAGTGTGCCCACTCCACACCCCAGCTGTCCAGATGCTGCCCATCTTTCAGGGCCCCTGCAGCTGTCACCTCCTCCAGGAAGCCCTCTTCCACCCTCCAGGGCAAGCCTAGGCTTTTTGGACTTCACAGGGCTGGGGTCTCTGTGAGCACTGAGGAGGAAAGAACATAGAACAAAGGAGGGCCAGGGAGCCAACGATGGGGCTGAGGCCCCGCAGTCCCAGAGATCCGCCAACCCCTGAAGCACCATTGCCAGTGCTTGGGCAGTCAGGGGGTCCTGGGAGTTCTTGGTCGGCTTGACAGTGGGTGCAAGATAGCAGAAGAAGCGACTGGGGACAAACCAGGGCTTCCTGCCCAGTCCTCTCTCGGGCTCGCTCCTGTCCCCTCCTCCACCCTCGCCCCCTCCTCTCTGTTCTCCTCCCCTCTCTGAGGCCCATTCTCTGTTTCCCACAGACACGGAGCAGCCAGGGGAGGTGTCGGCCTTGGGGCCGGGCCGGGCGGGGGCAGGGCCGAGTAGCCGGGGCCGGCCGGGGGGGCCGTGGGGGGAGAGCCCGTCCAGTGGCCCCTCCAGCCCTGAGAGCAGTGAGGATGAGGGCCCAGGCCGCAGCTCCAGCCCCCTCCGCCTGGTGCCCTTCTCCAGCCCCAGGCCCCCCGGAGAGCCGCCGGGTGGGGAGCCCCTGATGGAGGACTGCGAGAAGAGCAGCGACACTTGCAACCCCCTGTCAGGTATCCCGGGCGACGGGCGGGCGAGGGAGGACCGGGCGTGGCAGCGGTGGTGCGTCTACCCCGCTCACCCAGCTCTGCTCTCTGGCTGCAGGCGCCTTCTCAGGAGTGTCCAACATTTTCAGCTTCTGGGGGGACAGTCGGGGCCGCCAGTACCAGGAGCTCCCTCGATGCCCCGCCCCCACCCCCAGCCTCCTCAACATCCCCCTCTCCAGCCCGGGTCGGCGGCCCCGGGGCGACGTGGAGAGCAGGCTGGATGCCCTCCAGCGCCAGCTCAACAGGTGAGGGAGTGCAGGTGGGGTGGGGGGGCACGCCCTGGAGTCTGGTCCAGGTCCTGGCGGTGTTGTCTGGTAGAGGGAGAGGGCCTGTCTGTGTGTGCAGCAGCTGGATCCCCTTCTTCCATTCCTAGCCCAGCTGGGGGCTGCCACACCTCTAGCGCGGAGGGCCTGGGTTGACAGGCTGCCCCTCCCCCCTCCCCTTCCCCTTCCCCACTCCCGGTGGAGGCTGTCACTGGTGTCCCCACTTCTCTGAGCATCCCCCACTTCCTGCCCCAGGCTGGAGACCCGGCTGAGTGCAGACATGGCCACTGTCCTGCAGCTGCTACAGAGGCAGATGACGCTGGTCCCGCCCGCCTACAGTGCTGTGACCACCCCGGGGCCTGGCCCCACTTCCACATCCCCGCTGTTGCCCGTCAGCCCCCTCCCCACCCTCACCTTGGACTCGCTTTCTCAGGTAAGCTCCAGCCCTGCTTCCTCGATGTACCGTGACCCGCTTGTTCCCCGATTCCAGCCCAAACCTGCTTTGCTGCCTTTCTGCTGGGCTCTGTGGCCCAGCCTCCCTGAACCTTGTTCCTGCCCTCCTCCCACCCCTGTCCTCCTGGAGGAAGGCTGCTTCAGGAGCTGCAGGCTCAGGGTAGGGCAGGAGAGTCCCCCGTCCAAAGCCCCTAGACAGCTGGGTGCAGGGAACCTGTAGGCTAAGTGGCCCGCAGCTTCACTCCCCTAGTGTCCACAGCCTCCACCGCCAGGCCCCGGAGCATCGCCTGAAGAGCCAGCTCCAACGGTGGTGCCTGTCTCACGGCCACGGGTGGTCTCCAAGAACTGACTGAGCCCGAGACGTGGCGGTGGAGGCTGCATACCAGAGTATCTAGGGACAGGGTCCCGGGTCCCTTCTGTGAGTGACACTCCCTGGTCTCACCGTCCTGCCCATCCTTGCCCTTGGCAGTGGCTGTCACAGGGTCATCTTGAGGGTGCTTGGCATTTCCCAGGGTGCAGAGGCCAAGCCTCCAGGGGAGGACTTCCTGGGCCTGCTTTGCCCCCTCTGCTAGAGATGGGCCTTAGTTGCCCCTTGTCCTCTCCTGGGTGGACCTGCATGTTCCTGGCCTCTGCAGGATGGCGGTGTCTGTGTCAACCTCCGCGTCCATGGTGGGGACTCCTCTGGCTGCCAGAGGCGGCCTGGGATCTGCTCCCTCCCCACTTCCCTTGGCATCCGCTCCCCCCTCCCATATGCTGCCTGCTCCTGTTTGCAGACACGAGGGCCCACGTCAGCAAATGTGCCAGTCTCCCTTCGCAGCCGCCCCCGCAGAGCTCTCACCAGCAGACGCTCAGTACCCACAAACCCCTCCCGCCTGCCCCGGCCCTCTCCCTGGCCTTCAGATGCCTGGCCGCCAGCCTGCCTCTGTTTCTAGGTCCCCGAGTTCTTTCTGGATTGCGGGAAGGAATCTTGTCTCTTTTTCTGTCCCAGCTTCTGTCCCAACACAGAGACTGCTTGTTCCAGGTTGGGTTGGGCTCAGCGGCCACATTCCCTCGGGAAGAGACAGGGGCCTAGGGTTTTCCCTGCTCCCAGCTCTCTTGTTTGGCTCCTGCTCTCAGAGAATGCCTTTCTCTACTTCCCACCTTGGTGCCTCCCCTTGGTGGCCCCTGTCCTGCTCTCGCTGCCTTGGCTCTTGTCCCCTCCAGCTTCTCTGCCCACCTGACTCTCCTCTTGGCCCTCCTGTCCTCCCGTCCATCCTCTGTCCCCGGGTTCTCCTGCCCCTTTCCCTCCCCTTCCTCCTCCTCCATGGCCTCTTCGCCTGCCCATGCTCTGTGTGTATTGCAGGTTTCCCAGTTCATGGCGTGTGAGGAGCTGCCCCCGGGGGCCCCAGAGCTTCCCCAAGAAGGCCCCACACGACGCCTCTCCCTACCGGGCCAGCTGGGGGCCCTCACCTCCCAGCCCCTGCACAGACACGGCTCGGACCCGGGCAGTTAGTGGGGCTGCCCAGTGTGGACACGTGGCTCACCCAGGGATCAAGGCGCTGCTGGGCCGCTCCCCTTGGAGGCCCTGCTCAGGAGGCCCTGACCGTGGAAGGGGAGAGGAACTCGAAAGCACAGCTCCTCCCCCAGCCCTTGGGACCATCTTCTCCTGCAGTCCCCTGGGCCCCAGTGAGAGGGGCAGGGGCAGGGCCGGCAGTAGGTGGGGCCTGTGGTCCCCCCACTGCCCTGAGGGCATTAGCTGGTCTAACTGCCCGGAGGCACCCGGCCCTGGGCCTTAGGCACCTCAAGGACTTTTCTGCTATTTACTGCTCTTATTGTTAAGGATAATAATTAAGGATCATATGAATAATTAATGAAGATGCTGATGACTATGAATAATAAATAATTATCCTGAGGAGACTCCAGTGGTGCTGGGAGGGTGTAACTGTTACTTGCTGTGTCCTGTGTTCCTGTCTGGACATGCATAGGTGTGCCTGCACAGGAATCCGGGTCTGTCTGCATGCCCAGGCCCACAGGGCTGCCCCTGTATCCAGGTCTGGGTGTGTGCAGTGGGGGTGCTCCCTGGGGGCTGACACAGGTCATCTCCAGGGAGACAGAATCTTGTCTCTGTAGGGCCCTGGATTCAAGATAACAAAAAACCCCCTGAACCACATGCATTTAGAGGCAGTCCTGATGGGACACTGACCTGGTGTCTAGCCCCTGAGGGCCATGTGCCTCTGCTGGGTGGGGCACCCTGGCTCCCACAGCTTGGCTTCACACTGACTGTGGAAGCAGCCCTGCACTTGTCTCCCTCACCCAGTTCCTGAGCCTGCGTTGACCCTAACCTGAAATTGGTCTGAGTCCTGGCTCCCCCTGCCACCCACAACTTAGCCTTATCTTATCCAATACAATTGGGCCCCGGACACACTGGTGACTCCAGCCCTGACCAGAGCTCACCTGGTGTCTGGCTGCAGATGGACCTCACTTGTATCACCTTGGTCCCCTGTGATCCTGGATCTCAAGAGGAGCTTCCTGAAGAGGGTGCAACCTTCAGGGTGACTCATTCCCATGACCGGGGAGCAAGGCAAGGCAGATGTCTTGGGGACAGTGAAGGGTGTGTGTGCAAGTGCCTGCGTGTGCCTGTGTGTGTGTACATGTGTGTGCATGTGCTGCTGGGCTTGTAAGGACATGCAGCCCCCAGAGGAATGTGGTGCAATGACTGAGGCTGGTGTGGAGAGCCAATGGGTGGCGGGCAGGCTGTGCCCAGCTGGGTGGGTTTGCAGGCAGGGAGCTGCCAAAGGCCTCCAGAGACAGAGCAGCTTCTCACTGAGTCTTTGAAACCTCTGACCCTCGGAGGTGGGTTTGTTGACTGTTTTATTTTATTAATTTTTTTTTGAGATGGAGTCCCGCTCTGTCACCCAGGCTAGAGTGCAGTGGCACAATCTCAACTCCTTGCAAGCTCCGCCTCCTGGGTTCAGGCCATTCTCCTGCCTCAGCCTCCCGAGTAGCTGGGACTACAGGCACCCACCGCCACGCTCAGCTAATTTTTTGTATTTTTAGTAGAGACAGGGTTTCACTGTGTTAGCCAGGATGGTCTTGATCTCCTGACCTCATGATCCGCCCGCCTCAGCCTCCCAAAGTACTGGGATTACAGGTGTGAGCCACCGCGCCTGGCTGTTGACTGTTTTAAAGACAACTGTGCCGTTCTCACTGCCCATGCCTGGGTGGGGCGGGTGTTGGTCTCTGAGCAGCCTGGAAGGTTCCCTGTGCCCAGAGCAGGGAGGAGAGAAGGAAGGGATCTCCCCCTTTCCAGGGCCTGGGAGAGACAGGGAGAAGGAAGAGATCCACAGGTCAGAGGGGGAGAGGGGTGACAGAGAGGGATGCCAGGCAGAAAAGACAGGTTTGTGCATCAGGATCTGTCCCACACATGTACACACATGCACATGTGAGTGTGAGCTTGCTTCTGCTCATGGTTTAAAAGTTTAACACAGGCCTTCCTGGTTGGTTGATGTGACTGTCACTGCAGGTGGGGGCCTAGCTGGGGTGGCCTAGATTTGGTGTCAGTGGGGCATGGCTCTGCTTATGGACTCTGGAGCCCAGGGCAGGAGACAGACCCAGGCAGTGGCTTATGGGGAGCAGTGAAGGTACACACGAAACTCAATGCTCTTCGCATGCTGGGCTGTGAGCTGAGCCAACTCCCCGCTCCCTGGTGCTGTTTCATCCTTGTCATGGTCTGCCCTTGTCCTTAGAGTGCCTTCATCTTGGGAGTCTGCCTGATGCCCACCACTCCGTGTCCAGCAGCCGGGCTGGGTGTTGGTGGACACAGAGAGGAGAGGAAGAAAGGGCCTTTGCCCCCCTCCTGGCTTTGTAGCAGAGGTGCCACCGGTTATTTCTTTGTGGCACCATGCCAGCACCACGGTTAGCTATCTTCCCCTAGGTGAGGGCCCTGCCTGGGCGGTGGAGGTCTGGCGTGGATTTTGGTGCTCCTGAGGAGTGGATGCATGTGTGTGAGTGAGTGTGCATGTGTCTGTGCTCAGGATGGGGTCTGGGCCCAGCAGAAGGCAACCTGTCCATGCTGGTCCTCGATAGAAATACACAGGTGTCCCGGAGTCAGTTCAGTCTGGATGGGTCAGGCTGCCCAGATGCCCCTTGCCAAGTCCCTTCCAGGACTCCCCTGCCAAGGCTGGAGAGTGGGTGAGGGGCAGTCACAGTGGCTGCGTTTGCCAGGTGGTCCCTGGGTCCGGTATGCAGCTGGGTGCTCTGCCCTTGTGTCCTGAATCCCTACCCCAGCGGAGGGCATGTTAGCATCCACATGAGGACAGTCAGTTTCTGGCTGGTCCAGTGACTGGCTGGAGGTCACATCCCTAGTTGGTGGCAGGTGCGTCAGACTTCAGGTTCTCCCCACCCATCCTCCCGCCTGCACTGCCCAGCCACAGGCAGGCCTGCTCCTTGGCTCCTCCCCTCATCTGGGCTCCCAGAGCGACAGGAAGTTTGGTGGTGAGGACAAGGGCAAGCCGTGGTGGTGCAGTCCCTCCCCTCCCGCAGGGCTGGGCACCTGGCTGTTAAGGGCCTGTCATCCAGAGCTGAGGGTTTTCCCCAACCAAGAGAGCCAGAGGGTGGGACGGGAGCTGGAGGGAGCTGTGGCAAGAGAGGAAGGGATCCATGTGGTTGTCAACACGTGGCAGAAGCCTGGCGCAGGGCCCCAAGCTGGAGTCTGGTCAGGGGCTGGGAGCAGGAACAGAAGCAGGAGGGCAGCGTGGCCTGTCTCGCCTCCACCTCCATCCCCAGGCGTGGAGGGATGCCCAGCCTGCCTATCCACGTGCAAGCTGGTCTCCAGCACCTGTCCTTACCTAAGATCTCATCCCCACTCAGCCGGGTGGTGGCAGCTCTCACATTTCACTGACAAATAACAGCAATGGATAGTTCCTGAGCACGCCCTTTGCGGCAAGCATTATTCCAGCCACCTGAAACCAAAGCCCCAGAGGCTGAGTGACTTGCCCGAGCATACCCCACTCCTGAGAGTGGAGCTGGAAGGTGAGCCCAGGTGGTCTGAGTCACATGCCTGCTGGTCCTGAAGGGACAGGTGGACTTCTCCCCCTTGCCTGCAGGGCAAGGCCCTCTGTGCCAGTTTTGCACAGAGGTTCTCATCTTTCTTTCCAGACTCACCTGCCCTCTCCCCTCCCTGCCATGTGGGTCATGCTGCAGCCACGCGAGCTTCCGTCCTGTTCACCATGTTCTTGCATCTGCCCTGTCTTGCTCTCTTCTTGTGACGCAGACTCCCTCATCCTTGGTGTGGAAAGACCCTTCTGTCTTCCCAGCCCTAGCATGGACGTCGCCGCTCCTGAGGCCTTCTGCAGGTTTCTCAGCCGGTTGTGGCACTCGCTGGCACCTGTGTTAGGGGCTCCCCACACCCTGCCTGCTTGCTCGTCTGTCCTCCGTAAAGGGGAAGGGCTGAATGCTGGTCATCTTTTCGCCTATTCCCACCCAGCATCTAGCACAGTGCCCAGGACCTGATGTGGCCACTAGGCAGCCCACAAGACCCCATGTTTGAGGATTTTGCACAGAAAAGGGAGATGTCTTCCTGACAGAGTTGGCTGGGCTAAAATTTGCGTCTGTCCCTGGAGGTCACTTTCTTCCCAAAGGCTTGGCCTCTGGATTATGGCTGCCTCCCCGCCTGCCTCCCCGCCTGCCTCCCCAGGGAGCACAAGCCCCACTCCTTCACTGGCAATGTGGCTACACATGCTTATCTTTTTTTTTCTTTTTACTTTAGCACAACCAAGGTAAATATTAAATATTTGAAAGAGAATAACGGGAGCAGTGGGGAGGATAAACCAGAGACTTGGACCGAGAGCCTCAAGTCCATTCATTTTGTAGATTGAATGTTGGGGCCTGTCCATGGCTGCCCCAGTCTGCGGGCTTGTGGGCCCCACCCTGTTCCCATGCTCTGGAATGCCTCTGAGGTGGAACTGGGGATACTTTTTTGCAGGGGGGTTTGCTCCCAGTTTCCAGTTTCCAGGTGGCCTCTGAGTGGAGGGCTCCAGCTCACCGTCCTCTGGGTGGTTGTTCATTTGTCCTTCGATGGTCAAGGCTGAGGGAGGTTACACCGGGGGCTTTGCAGTTCCAGATTCGGGTCTGTGGGATCTACCTTTTCCCCTGGTGGTGGACAGTCTTCCGGAAACTGAAACCTGATTGAACTTGCTTTTCAGTGAGAGCTTACACTGCTGTAGGAAGAGGTATTTCTTTGTAGGAGTCCTGGCAGCTTGACAACACAAGGACCATAAGAGGACACATGTGGTGTGTTAGTGTCTCTCAAGTGCTCAACGATGTTGAAATAAACGGAAAACGCAGGGCCTTCCAAAGTGACTGTTTTGAGGCATTTTTAGATAATTGTATATCATTAAAGAGTGGTTAGTGTGAAAATTGATTTAGTAAAAGATTAAATAGTAACTATTTTCTTAAAGCTGCATATATGCCTGGTATTAAGCGATAAAAACTCAATTTAAGGCTGGATGCGGTGGCTCACGCCTCTAATCCCAGCACTTTTGGGGGCCCGAGGCAGGTGGATTGCTTGAGATTAGGAGTTGGAGACCAACCTGGGCAATATGGCAAAACCCTGTCTCTACAAAAAAATACAAAAATTAGCCAGCATGATAGCACGCACCTGTAGTCCCAGCTACTTGGGAGGCTAAAGTGGGAGGACAGCTTGAGCCTGGGAGGCGGAGGTTTCAGTGAGCTGAGATCGCACCACTGCACTCTAGACTGGGCAACAGAGCCAGACCCTGTCTCAAAAAAACCCAACCCTCCCACCCCCAAAACTCAATTTATCTTGATCTTTTTATTACAGTAGCATTTTAAAGAGGGTGCTTCTTAATCATTTTGAATTACTAAACATCCAAGTACAATTCTAGGTTTTTTGTTGTTGTTGTTGTTAACTTTTGTCTTCCAAAAAAAGAAAAAGAGAATGCATTCTGAGGCACTTGTTTAAATAATCAGCTTCATTATTTTATATTAATAATCACACCTTATAAGTGAGTTGGAAGTCTGCAAGAGACATTGCTAAGAAACCAGAGCAGAAGAATTTAGCATGATCCTCTTACCATTATTTTAAAATTAGCAATAGCATAAGGTCTGGCTGCAAAAGACTTAGATGCTAACTGGCAAGAAAATCAGTCATTAGGGAAACAGTCTGGAGAGGGCTCTCATAGCAACACAACCATATGTGACAGCTCTGCTTCCCCTTTCTGCTCTACCAGGTGATGGCAGCCAGATAATCAGATGGAACTTGCTGATGAGGGACACTAGGAAGGTCAAATCAGGGTGGTCTCCTGGACTTAAGCAGCCCAGGTGGAATGGAAGTCTTAGCAGAGAGGCTGTATTTAATGTCAAGTTACCCTGGGTGCCCTGGGATGATGACTCTTCCGCTGAGAAGTTTGGCTTTCTGTGGGGCTCTAAGTGACCTTAGGGAAGTGTTATTCTCAGGCTGGAGAAAGGAGCATGGAGGAATGAGGATTAGGCGACATGGGAATGAGTGAAGGGACTCAGCTGTCCTCCATCCTCTGGCCCTGGGGGAGCTTTTTCTTTCAGATACTGAGAAATGGGTTGAGCCCATGTGCCTAGTGCCACCCCATGTCTCTGGGGATGCCTGAGGGGCAGGGGCGAGGCTTATGTTCTGAGTCAAGGCACCTGAGACATTGGAGTCAGCAGGCACTGGCTCCTAAGCATGCAGCTGGTTCCTGTGCCTGGGAGGATTGCTTTAGCTCAGGGGTTCAAGACTAGCCTGGGCAACAGGCTCTTAAAAAAATAATTAAAAAAATCAGCTGGGCATTGTGGCATGTGCCTGTAGTCCCAGCTACTTGGGAGACTGAGGCAGGAGGATTCCTTGAGCCCAGGAAGTTGAGGCTGCAGTGAGTCATGATCGCCCCACTGCACTCCAGCCTGGGCAACAGAGCAAAATACCCTGTCTCCAAAAAGAAAAAAATGTGAGGGGCCTTTGTGAGCACTGGGGAAGTTACCTCATGATACAGGCCAGAAAACAACTTAAAAGATGATCCCAGACCTTCAAGCCCTAAGTTCTTGGCCACCCTGTCAGTGCCACCTCACTGGTGACCTTTTTCCTTGTCCTCCCACAGCCACTGGGATGCTATCCAGATGCATCTGATGAACCCCAGGGAGGAATTAAAACATGGCCCTGGAAGGGAGGAGAGGCTGCAGTATGGCTTCTGTCTTGGTCAGCAAGCAGTTTTCCCATAATAATAATTAGCCATCATAATGAGGCAGCACGTTGCAGAGATGCGGAGCTGGCGAGGATGAGGAAGCTGCAAAGGAACTGTGCTGAATGGGAGGCACAGGATCTCCTGGGAGAGCAGAGCCTGGTGCAGGTCTGAGGGTTGGGCTGGGCTTGGCTCAGTGGCTCCTGTCATGCCTTAAAGGCAGTCCTGAGGCGCACAGGAAGTGGTGCGTGATCGTAGGCTGAGCTGTTCAGCTCACGGCTTGCAAAGCCCAGGTCTTAGGAATATCCCTTCCTGAGCCAATTAGCTTCCTACTTGCCGAGGCAGCTGCTGCAGCTTTAGCCCAGCCTATCCTCTTGCAACCTCAGGCATCAGGTGAAGGATCAGTGTTTGGAGGGGACGGCAAGTGCCATTGCTTATTAGAGACTCAAGTCACACCAGACATGACTGAGGAGGTGTTGGGGCACAGCGTTGCTTGCTGAGGACAAACTCCTCGAAGTTTCCTGCTAACTTTTCACCAACTGGTAAACGTTGAATGTTCTGGGTAACTGCCAAATTTGTGGTTCAGAAATGGAAAAAGTGCAGAAAAGCTGAAAGTGACTTTAGCAAAGAGGCAGCTCCTTTGGCTGAAGTGCTTGGCAGGGTGGACGTAACTGACGCAGCAGGACAGACACGCCTCTCTCCTCAGCATCCCCTGTGGGTGGCGTCTCCTTGGTCCTGGGTCTTGGGTTAGCCCCGCAGCTGGATCCGGTGCTGGTGAGGCTCCTGTCCAGGTGGCCTCACTCTAGCAGAGCAGACTGGGCCTTGTGGGTGCTTACCATGCCCGGGATCCCCCGTGGAGACTTTATACCCCAACCCAGGGCAGGAGAGCTTTCACTTAAAATGTTTTCCTTGAGCCCCACCTAGAATCACAGAAAGTCGCCAAAAGTCATGAGAGAGCACAGTCTACCCCGTCGTTTTTCAGTGGAGGGGAATGAGGCTTAAAGTTGCTCAAGGCAGGAGTTTCCAGAGCAGCACGGCCCCTCACTTCCCGTCCTGCTGCAGGCTGGATGGGATGCAACCGCACCCTTCAGTAGCTCATAATTTAGCTGGGACCATATAAGAGAAATAAAAGAAAATGACCATGGCCCCACTTTTATGAAGTGCCTAACAGAGCTTCTTTTATTCCTATTCAAGTCCTCCTCATTCTCCAGGACCTGGCTCCTGGCAGCCCTCTCCATAAAGCCTCTCCATGAACCCTTGTCAGTCTACAGCTATCCTCTGTGGCATTGCATGACACACAAAGCCACACCGTCCTGTAACTTTTTTTTTTTTTTGAGATGGAGTTGAGTTTTGCTTTTTTCGCCCAGGCTGGAGTGCAATGGCACGATCTCACTGCAACCTCTGCCTCCCGGGTTCAAGCGATTCTCCTGCCTCAGCTTCCTGAGTAGCTGGGATTACAGGCATGCGGTACTATGCCCAGATAATTTTGTATTTTTATAGAGAGGTGGGGTTTCACCATATTGGCCAGGCTAGTCACGAATTCCTGACCTTGGGTGATCCACCCGCGTTGGCCTCCCAAAGTGCTGGGACTACAGGCGTGAGCCACTGTGCCTGGTCCTGTAACAGTTTTTTTTAATTAATTATTATTTTTTTAAGAGACAAGGTCTCCCTCTGTTACCCAGGCTGGAGTGCAGTGGTGCAACTATGGCTCACTGCAGTCTCAACCTCCTGAGCTCAAGTGATCCTCCCGCCCCAGCTTCCCGAGCAGCTGAGACCACAGGCGTGTGCCACCACACCTGGATAATGTTTTCTCACTGAAAGTGGAAACAGCCATTTCTGTCTTCTATATTAGCAGAAAAAATATTTTTAAAAACCCGAAGGACTGAACTTTCAGTTCTTACTGCAAAGCCCGCAGGGGCAGGGTTATCTGGACTGGAGGGATGTCCACTCTTTGCTCACAGCCTGACTTTGATACTGTGTTCTCTGTGGTCTAAGGAACTTACCAATGGGGCTTCAGTAGTCTCATATCCTAAACACGTTATCGAGTTGTTTTCATTTTCAGAAATCATTAAGGGACACATTTGACCCACATAGAGACTGGCAGGGTCCCAGTTGCCTGCTAAGTTCTCAGACAGGGCCAGGCTGATGAAAATTCAACTTAAGTCATTAATTGCTGCATAATAGCAATGGTGCCGTTGTGAATGGAGGTGGGGTCCTTAGAAACTGGCTCTGGAGGATGGGGCAGGGACTTGGCTCTTGGAGATGCGGCCATGAGAGCTCCTGGGAATGACATGGAGGGAATAACAGGTGTCTTGACACTAGCACCTGGAGGTGTGTGAGGGGCCAGGATGGACTGCGGATAGACCAGTCAGCGTACCCAGCACAGTCAGCACAACCAGATGGCCATGTGCTCCGGGGCCAGAGGGAGACGGAGGGACACTGTGGCCCAGATGTAAATGATGGATTTGCTCTTTTTGTATTTTATTTTATTTTTTGAGATGGAGTCTCACACTGTTGCCCAGGCTGGAGTGCAGTGGGGCGATGTCAGCTGAAGCGATTCTCTGCCTCAGCCCTCCCGAGTAGCTGGGATTACAGGCGTGAACCACCATGCCTGGCTAATTTTTGTATTTTTAGTAGAAATGGCATTTCATCATGTTGGCCAGGCTGCTCTTGAACTCCTGACCTCAAGCAATCCTCCTGGCTCTGACTCCCAAAGTGCTGGGATTACAGGTGTGGGCCACCATGCCCGGCCACATCTTTTTGTATTTTAAAGTGAAATTTAAAAACACAGGTTAAGGGTTAAAATTATGAAACAGACCTGATATAAAACATGTTATTTTGGGGATAAATTTTCCTGGTTGCTGTTGTGGAGAAGGTGGAATATTTCACCTTTGGTGAAATAAACTAGAAATGTGGTGTTAGTCTTGTCTACCTAACACGACTATAAATTCTTTGCAGCCAGGGCTGAGATTGCGGTGGAGATGAAGTGAGGGTCTGTTTGAGGAAGTCTCTCTCCAGAGGTGTGCACGAAGGACCAGCAGCAGAGTGGCACTGCCTGAAGGTGTCTTTGTGAACATCCCCGCCCCTGAGGATTGGAAATAGAAACCTGGGGTTTTAATTCTGTCCATTTTTGTCATTGTCACAGAGCTCAGTGAAAGCTGACTGGCTACTTGAAAATATCAGGGTTGGAAAGTGGGCTTTTGAGAAAACTTATCAAGCGATAGATCACTGGAGGCTGGGAGGGGCACAGGATCAGGTGCTGGGGAGCTGAGACCGGCAGACTGGAAGGCTCTTGAGAGTGCAGGGCTCCATCTATTTACCATGCCGAGCAGGAGATGGAGTCCCGGAGGCAGGAGGTGGCTTGCCAAGGCCATAGAAATAGAGTCAGGGCCAGGTTTAGGACACAGCTCTGGCCCCTCAATTCCACAAATGCAGAACTGTGATGCTCCCAACCCTTGGAACATAGCTTTGTAAAACCCAGATTTTTCTTTTTTTTTTCTTTTTTTTTGAGATAGGGTCTCCCTCTGACAGCCAGGCTGGAGTGCAGTGACATGATCACAGCTCATTGCAGCCTCAACCTCCCTTGGCTCAAGCGATCCTCCCAACTCAGCCTCCTGAGTTGCTGGGACTACAGGTGAGCACCACCATATCTGGCTATTTTTTTTTTTTTTTTTTGGTATTTTGTAGGGTTTCACCATGTTGCCCAGGCTGGTCTTGAACTCCTGGGCTCAAGAAATCCACCTGTCTCAGCCTCCCAAAGTGCTGGGATTACAGGTGTGAGCCACCATGCCTGGCCTGGCCTGTTCTTGGGTGTGAAGGTATCTGATGTGCTGGGCGGCCTGTGCGTGGGGTTCTTTCTCCAGGGTTGGAGAGGGATGGTGCGGAGCCCTTTAGCTGCTCCCATTCATTTCCGCAGAAGGTGTTATGTCTTTGAGAAGAGGGAAACAGTGGAATCTGTTTCAATCAATATTTATTTGGATAATCACCATCTGGCTGGAGCTCCCAGGCCCTCACCCTACCCATCTCTCCACTTCTCTGGCTGCCTGCCAGTGGATCCCAGTTACAGGCCTGGACCTCAAGGGAGGGTGAGGACAGTCTCAGGTCAGAAGGAACAAAACCAGGCTGTCTTGTCCTGCTCTTATGTCCAGGCAGGCATGTCTTTCCTCCAGTCCACGGTTTTCAACCAGAGGTGATATTGCCCCCCAGGCATGTGTGGCAATGTCTGTGCACTTTCGGTTGTCCCACTTCAGGGTGGTGGTAGATGGGTTGTTACTGGCATCTAGTGGGTAGAGGCCAGTAACATCCTGCAGGCACAGGACAGCCCCCACAACAGAGAATCAGCCAGCCCCAGATGGCCATAGTGCTGAGGCTCAGAAACCCCGCTCCAGGCCTGTTCTTTATGATTTTTTGGGAAGAGGGGTTTCCCAGCTGCCTTCTTCCCCTACACAACGTGACAGCAAGCCACTGCGGGGCCTGGTTTCACCTCCTACCTCAATGTTTTCTCACTGAAAGTGGAAACAGCCATTTCTGTCTTCTATATTAACAGTAAAAATATTTTTAAAAGCTGACTGTAGTTTAAACTGAATGTCCTGGGAGAAAGGCAGGTTATTCCTGTGAGGAAGAGATGGCTCCTTTTGTTCAGAAGTACCCTGTAGTCTGTTTGGTTATTAACGATGAGGTCCTTAGAGAGGGGCCTGGGTAAGTGAGAGCTGGTCAGAGATGGTACACCAGGAATCGTTTCTGAGTCTTTTTTTTTTTTTTGAGACAGAGTCTCACTCTGTTGCCCAGGCTGGAGTGCAGTGGCATGATCTTGGCTCACTGCAACCTCTGCCTCTTGGGTTCAAGTGATTCTTGTGCCTCAGCCTCCCCAGTAGCTGGGATTACAGGTGTGCAGCACCACGCCCAGTTAATTTTTGTATTTTTAGTAGAGACGGAGTTTCACCATGTTGGCCAGTCTGGTCTTGAACTCTTGGCCTTAAGTGATCCGCCTGCCTTGGCCTCCCAAAGTGCTGGGGTTACAGGCATGAGCCACCCCACCTGGCACACTTTTGAGTCTTTAAGGGCATCCTGGGAGAGATGAGGCCCAGCGGTGAGAGGGAGAAGAGACTTCCATGGCCTATGAAGACGTGCGGAATTATTTTTTGGTGGGAAATGGCCAATGAATATTTAGGAAAATTGATGTTCGACATTTAGTGTTAGGTTACTTCGCCCCAGTGGTTCTGTTACCCTCCTAGTCCTCAGTAAACGCTTGTCACACACATTGCTGTTTGTTAGTGGTGCTTGGGGCAGTAGAGGAGGGGACATTTCCTGGAGGACAGAGCTACACGCTGAGCGGAGGCAGGGTAGAGGGAGGTGGGCAGGAGCCGGCCACACCCCCCCATGGCTGCAGTCTGCTCCCAGCATGGGTGATGCTAGGACATTCCCTTGGCCCCCAGATATACTACTGAAGGTGACTTTAAAAATTTTTTATTTAATTATTTATTTATTTCTGAGATGGAGTCTCGCTCTGTCACCCAAGCTGGAGTGCAGTGGTGTGATCTTGACTCATTGCAACCTCTGCCTCCCTGGTTCAAGCGATTCTCCTGCCTCAGCCTCCCGAGTAGCTGGGATTACGAGTGTGTGCCACCACGCCCAGCTAATTTTTGTGTTTTTAGTAGGGGCGGGGTTTCACCATGTTGGCCAGGCTGGTCCCGAACGTCTGACCTCAAGTGATCCACTTGCCTTGGCCTCCCAAAGTGCTGGGATTACAGATGTGAGCCCCCGTGCCCAGCCCCATTTCAAAAATTTTTAAATTTTCATTTTTTTAACCTTTTATTTTAGGTTCAAGGGTACATGTGCAGGTTTGTTATGTGGGTAAATTGCATGTCGTGGGGGTTTGCTGTACAGGTTGTTTTATTACCCAGGTAATAAGTGTAATACCTGAGGTAGTTTTTTGGGCTGCACCCTCCTCCCATGGAAGATGACTTTTTTTTTCTTTTGAAACAGAGTTTTGCTCTGTCACCCAGCTGGAGTGCAATGGCATGACCTTGGCTCACTGCAACCTCTGCCTCCCGGGTTCAAGCGATTCTCCTGCCTCACCCTGCTGAGTAGCTGGGATTACAGGCACCCGCCATCATGCCCGGGCAACTTTTGTATTTTTAGTAGAGATGGGGTTTCACCATTTTGGCTAGGCTGGTCTCGAACTGCTGACCTCAGGCGATCCACCCACCTCAGCCTCTGAAGGTGCTGGGATTACAAACGTGAGCCACGGTGCCCGGCCAGAAGGTGACTTTTTAAGGGGCTTGCTGGGAGGAGTGCAGCAGACAGGCCAATCTCCATTTTGTATGTGTGGGCCTTCCCCATGGTAGACACAGGGGTTACATATATCATCACAACCCTTTGTGACCACAGCTGCTCATTGCCTGCCCCAATATCCATTATTCTTTTCCTCTTCAGTAATGGAACCTCCAATGTTGAGCTCATCCCATGGCTTCCTAGAATAACGACCATTCACCAGCCCCCTTTGCAGCTTGGTGTTGCCCTGTGATTAAGCTTGGGCCAGTAGGATGGGAGTGAAAGTGCCATATGTAACTTTTGGGAAGTGCTTTTTAAGGGAGGAGAGTTTCTCCTTCACCTCTCCTTCTCCCTGCTGACTGAAGCGTGAGGTGTCACTCTCAAGGTGGATGAGCCTCATGGACAAAAGCTCCCAGGTTTCTAACGATGGAAGAGCTTCCACACTGTGCTGACTGCTGCAGCTGCTGCCTACTGGCCCGAGGCAGTTGAGAGCTAGGAAGAGGAGTGTATGGGACCAGCCATGCTGCCTCCCTTCTCCAGCATCCTTTTCTCTCCCCTGAGCAGAGGAAGGCAAAGCGGACTCTCTCTGGGTCTGTGAATTAATCACAAGCCACTGGCCTTCATAGGATGCTTGGGACTAATTCCGGAGCTTATTCATGGCTGTTCTGCCCTGAATTCATGGCCGTTAGCCCCTCTTCCCTCAGCTCCTGGCAATCCCATACCCGTCTTTCTTTGCATAAGCTTCTTATCAGCTCTACACCTGTTATAGCTGCTGGTCATCTGGTGTCATGATGTATCAGCCAGTGTGCAGTCATAAAAGCAGACATTACTCCAGATATTTCAAAGAGGATTTAGTTCAGGAACTATTGGAAACATGGGCTACACATGTGGAAGAAGAGCTGCCACAGTGAACAGGAGGAAAGGGTGATGCCAATAGGTCAGGAAGCTGCCACTGCCCCTTGGAGAGAGCCCACAGCACACACTCCCTGCTGCTGCTGGAAAGCTGCCAAACGCAAGCTGCTCTGTGGTCCCCATGAAGCCACCAGCGCTGCTAAAAGCCACAGTAGCCTGCTGCAGTTGTGGCAGAAGCTTAGTGGCTTCTTTCTCGTCTCCTCTCCTCTCCTGTCATTGATTCTCATTGGTGAAACTCAGCCAGAACCCAGTTGGTGAGGGAGTCTGAAATGTAATTTTTACAATTCAGAGGGAAGTATGGAAAGGAGTGTGGGTGTCAGGGCTAAAGGCCAATAATTGGCTCATGGAGGAAAATGCTCAGCTTTCCAGGTGAGCCTCACCCCTTGTATTTTTTCATTTTTGAATTAAAATGTGTTTTTATTGAGGAAAATTTAAAATATATACGAAAGCACTAAGAACAGTCTAATAATCCTTTAGGTATCTATCAGATAACTTTAACAATGATCAATTCATATCCAATCTTGTTTCCACATACCCTCCACTCCCCAACACCAGATTATTTTGGTGCAAATCCCAAACACCATATAATTTCTTTCTTTTTTTTTTTTCTGAGATGGAGTCTCAGCTCTGTTCCCCAGGCTGGAGTGCAGTGGTGCGATCTCGGCTCACTGCAAGCTCCGCCTCCCGGGCTCACGCCATTCTCCCGCCTCAGGCTCCCAAGTAGCTGAGACTACAGGCACCCACCACCATGCCCGGCTAATTTTTTGTATTTTTAGTAGAGACGGGGTTTCACCGTGTTAGCCAGGATGGTCTTGATCTCCTGACCTCGTGATCCGGCTGCCTCGGCCTCCCAAAGTGCTGGGATTACAGGCATGAGCCACCGCGCCTGGCCCAAACACCATATAATTTCATCTGTAAATATTCCAATTTTTCTAAAAGATGAGGACTCAAAAAATACATAGCCACAATAGCTTACCACATCTAAGGTAGAGTAATTCCCTGATATCATCAAATGTTCCGTTAGCAATCAAACTTCAGTTGTTTCATATATCTATATCTCTGTATATGTATATATACACACATACATATATTTTATAGAGACAGGGCCTTGCTATATTGCCCAGGTTGGACTTGAACTTGTGGGCTCAAGTGATCCTCCTGCCTCATCCTCCCAAGTAGCTGAGGATACAGGTGTGCACCACTGCATCCAGCTTCATATATTTTTGAAATAGTTTTCTTTATTTGAACCAGAAACCAAATAAGATCCATACATTGTAACGAGTAGATATGACTCTTAAGTACCTTTTATTCTATGGGGTCCTCCTCCATATTTTTCTTTGTGTTTTGTTTTGATTGAAGAATCTAGGTTGTTCATTCTTTAGAGTTTTCTACAATCTGAATTTTGCTGATTGTATCCTTATGATATGGCTCAACATTAGAGGGGACCAACAGGTCTTGGTTTTACCCACTGCTAAAACCAAGAAAGTCCTGAGCAAACCAGAATGGTTGGTCACTCTGCATTTTTCTCTGTCACCCGTATTTCTCATAAGTTGGTAGTTAAACCTAGAATTTTTATCAGACTCAGGCTTCAATTTTTGGCAAGATTATTCCCTAGTTAGTGATGTATTATTCCAACAGGAGACACAGAAATAGCTGGCTGCCTCTCTTCTTGTGATTTTAGCAGCTATAAACGACGGTTGCTTAAACCTATGAATTCATTACAGGTTGCAAAATAGTGATGTTCTAATTCTGTCTTCCTTTTTCATTTATTAGCTGGAATTCTCTTATAGTGAGAAATGAACTCTCAGCAACTCTTTGGTTACCCAGAGGTAAAGTTCATATCGTAAAGGCAATATAAACATGCAGTTCATTCCCTTTATTTGCTACCTTTCAAAATATGGTTCTCTGACATCTCCCCAAAGTGAAGAATGATATTCCTCTAGTGGTACTGTAAACTCATAGGCTGGAAAAAAAAAACAATGTATTTCAACACTTCCCAGTTATTATCCTTATTGATCTCACATGTTTCCATCTTTGGCCAGTGGGAACTTATATTCAGGTTGGTTCCTGAGTTATTTTGACATGACCCTGGTAGGTTTTTTTTTCCCCCCAAACACAGCTTTATTGAGCCGTCATTGACAATCAAAGGATTGCACATATTTAACGTATATAATCTAATGAGTTTGGACATATGCAAATGCCTGTGATAGCATGTCCACAATCAGGGTGAAAGATCCAAAACCTCCCAGAGTTTCCTTGTGGGCCCTTGTGTGTGTTAAGAGTACTTAGCATACAAACTTGATAGCTTCCTTGTTTTATGATATTACAAGATGTTCCAGACCAAATCATTTTGTACCTTTCCTGTCCTGATCTTGGAAACAGCCATTTCTCCGATGAGTCTCGGTTCTTTTTAATAGGAAATGTATTTATAGCTAGGAGTTCTCATTACTACTACTAGATGGTCTGGGTCCTTTCAATGGCTATAGCTAGGAAATAAGCATTCCTTTTAAGACATTATATAATGTGTTCATGCTGTTGTCACTAATTCTAATTCAGAACTGCAGAGTTTTAATTTAACCTCATGGATCTTACATCTTTATCCCCTTTTCCCCACACTGAAAATCCTGACTCTTCATGGCACCAACATCATTACTCATTGGCTTTATCTCACAACAAACACACATGCAATAGTCTCAGAGCAGTAATACCAACCACCACAACTAACACTATGGTGACTGGAAATCTCTTTGTGATATTTTTGAAGTTCTTTTTGTCCTTAATATATCCCACTAGGGACGTATAGTGAAATTACTGTGTTTAAGTCGGTTGGAATAATTCCTTCTTGCATGGTTATGTTCCGTAATTATGGTTCATTTGTGTAATTTCCCTTTTCATTTTTAGGACTTGCATTTTAAGTTTAATTCTAAAGTTGAATCTACAAAGCAAAGTATATTCAAAGAAGTCTCATTTCTATGCCTGTCTACTCCCCTCCTCTCCCATAGATAACTGTTAAGGTATTTGTGTTTGTCCTTTCAACATTTTTTAAAATAAGCAAGTGTATGTATGTATGCCTCTAGTTTCCCTACTTGTGTTTTTTAGATGAATGAAATGTCCATACGTACTTTTTTCTTCCTTGCTTGATCCACTTAGTATCTGGAGAGGAGTCCACATCAGTAAGAAGAGACACGCCTCATTCCCTCACAGCTGTGTAGTATGTCATCATTTGGATATAGCTGACTCAAACGGTCCCCTGGTGGTTGCCATTTGTTTCCAGTCCTTTGTTGTTATTACAAAATTCTGCTACAATACATAGTCTTGTGCATACATCCTTTCATATTTTTGCTACTATATCTTTGGGAGGAATTCCAAGATTTGCTGGGTCAAAGGTCAATGCATATGTAATTTTGTAAGATATTGCTAAAGTTCCCACCAGCAACGTGGGAATACTTCTTTCTTTAACCTCGCCAACAGACTATGCTGTCACACTTTTGGATCTTTGCCCAATTTGATAGATGAGAAATGGTATCTGTGTCTTTTTAATTTATATATTTCCATCACAGGTTGAATTCCCTGGGAGCAGACTCTGAGACAGAGACTGGAAGGAGGGAGAAGAGGGAGGACTGGGTAGAGGGACAAGTCCGCCTGTGACTCAACCTCAACAGAGAGCCCAGCTGAGCCCACAGTGACCTCTAGGGCTGGCAGGGCCCTTCAGAGAGGCTGCGTAGGAATGATGGGCCTGGCTGTTCTATCCCCGTGTTAATCCATCACTGAGTGTGGGCTGCTCCGGAAGGAGGTGTGACCTTTGGTGAGGCAGTTTTTTTCCTGCCAAGGCAAATCCATGGGAGGGCGGACAGCAGAGGGCCATCCTCTGGTGGCACTTTCCATCATAGGTAGGGATTATGACATTTATTTCAGAAAGACAATCTGGGTGACACATCACGGCATCCACCCTCATTGCTTAATTTACCTATAATATCTACTTTAATGATTTTGTTTTCTACATACTATCTATCTATCTATCATCTATCTAATCTATCTATGTATCTATCATCTATCAATTATCTACCTATCATCTATCAATCACCTTTCTATCTCTGTTATCTATGTATCTATGTATCTATCTATCTATCTTATATCTATCAATCATCCATCATCTATCAATTTTCTTTGTATCTATCAATCAATCATCCATCTATCTCTCTCATCTCTCTCTTCTATCTATCTATCTATCTATCTATCTATCTATCTATCTATCTATCTATCTATCATCTATCTATCTCTATCATCTATTTATCTATTTATCTAGTTGATTTGTCTTGGATTGAGACAGGTGTGTTAAATATTCTTATTTTTTTTTAAAACAACATGTTTCTGTATATTTCTCCTGTCATCTCTTATATTTTCTGCTTCATGACAGTTGTTGCTAAGCCACTGCCATATAAGTGGCACCTACTGTTAGATCTCCATCATGATTGCAGACTTTGGGATTCTGTAGCCTCCTTCTGTGTCTCATTTAATGCTCTCTGGTCTGAATCCTGCCTTGTTGGATATCAAGATGGTGACTCATAATTTCTTTTAATTTTTATTTGCCTGTTGTATCTTTCAATTATACTGAACATTTTGATAAGCTTTTATTTTTAAACTTTTGCAATCTCTTTGTATTAGTATTGCCTCTGATATATAGTATAATATTGGATTTTTCCTTTTTTGCCAATATGGATACCTTTTTCTTCTAACAGCTGAGTTAAGCCCCATTATATTGATTGATCTGATCTATGTGTTTGACCCCAGTTGTCACATTGTTTTATTATACATATCATTGTATGCACATATCTATGTCTATATCGATATATCAATGTGATCAATTTTTTTAGCTTTCTTTTGGTATTTAGAAGGTTTGAATTTTTGTTCTAATAAATACCTTTATTCTAATACCTTTATATGACACTTTTAGCTTCCTAGTTGTGGTTATTTTGTATTAGTTCCCTACTTCAAGCAAGATTAAAATTGGTTAGTAATATCTTCTCCCTCCCTTGTCTGCTCCAGCATATATTCTGAAGCGATACTCTTTGAATTTCTGTTTCTACCTATAAGGCAACCAGCAAGCTTGTTTTACTTTTTATCTACTTTCCCCACTCTCTCCCCTGTTTTCTTTTTCTCAAGGGATGCGGTCTCTCTCTGTCATCCAGGCTGGAGTGCAGTCGTGTGATCAGAACTCACTGTGGCCTCGAATTCTTGGGTTTATGTGATCCTCCTGCCTCAGCCTCCCGAGTAGCTGGGGACACAGGTGCCACCACCATGCTGGGCTCCCTCCTGGATTTTTGACTGTTGTAATCTATCTACAGTGTCAGAACACAGCCCTCACCTTCTACATGACCGCCCTTATAATTATCGTTTCATCTTGGCACTGAACTTACAGCCAGTCCTTGTATGAACGGCTTTCCAGTCATTTGTGTTGTTTGAAGCTTGTTCTTTAGTGGATTCTTCAGTAAAAGTGCATGAGAGTGACACTCCCTGAGTTCTCCAACATTTGCAGACATAACTAAGATCTGTCAATAGCCTTTCCACTTAAAGGTTGTCTTGGCTCACATTGTCTTTCCTTGAGTACTTAAAATATTTTACTTCACTGTCTTCTGGCATAAAGCATGGCCATTGAAAAATCTAAATGCAACCTAATCTTTCCTCCACTTCCTTCCATAAGTAACTTGGTCTGTTAAACTGGACATCCAAAGATTTTTTTCTTTTCAAAGTGTGTAGTCCCACAAGCATATGTCCCTGTTGGTGATCCTGTGACGACTTTCCTATTGTACAATATGCTTCCATATCCATTACAGTATGCAGTTTTAAGTATCTTTATTTCAGGAAAATTCTAAATTTAGTTTTCCATATTATTCTGTTCTGTGGCTTTTGTTTTCTTCTTGGGGATTTTTATTATATGAATACTTCATCTTCTTAGTCCACCTCCTGTTACTTTCTCTTGTATTCTTTTCATTGCCTTGTTCATACCTTTTAACTAAAACTTTTTTCTTTTTTCATCCTTTATTTCATTTAAGACATTATCCACTGTGTCTATTTGCACCGACAGTTCTTCTAACTTAGACTTCATTTCTAAAATAATTTTTATTTCACATCTGAGTCTCTTCTGTCTTTTCATACTATTGTTTTATTTCCTTATTTTGGATCTTTTCTACTTCTGACTCATGCTGGTCTTCATAGCATCCATCACTTTGTGTATTTTTGTTCATTTTGAACTATGAAGGGCCAGTGTTGGTTTGTGCTTTGGCCAAGTCATTCTGGTTGGTGAGCCTTCATTGTCTGCAGGATAGTATTTGGCTCCTCATCGCTTTTTTCTCAAATTAACTTAGAATGATATTTATGTGAAATTATTTCCCACTGCTCATGCTTAAGTAAAATGAATTTTCTGTACTTTTAGGGAAGAAGGTTGGGCTAGGATAACTTTTTTTGGACTTTATGACTCTAGAGTCTGATTTCTGTTCTTTCACTCGGGGTTAGAAGATACGAACCCCACATTCTGAGCACTCTCTCTCCTTTGATCTCCTCCTCACTTTAAACTGGGCCTTGTCTTCTCTTTGTCCCCATTGACCCCAACCCAATCAATTCACATTCTTTTCTCAGCAGTTTTTCCCCAGTGCAAGATTTGGACTCAGAAGGCAGCTGTGGTGTGTCAGTGTGCTGAATTCCCAGGGTCCAGGTCACTCCAGCACAGTTCCATCTTACTGAGGTCCCCTTGTTCTCACCTCTGACTCGGCACCTACACACCCCTTGCCCGGTGCTGGCAGCTGCGCTCCGACAGGCCTGCAGGGAGTCCCTGGACACGCACCAGACGGGCTGTGCTGTTATGATCCCCGGGCCCAGCAGAGGCCCAGCTGTTTTTCCTGCTCTTCCTCTTTCCTACACAACTGTTTACATCACGCTGCTCTTGAAGCTATCAGCAGTTTGCCCGGACACATTCATAATTTGGGTTTGTGAGTTTGTGGGGACACCTTGTCACCCAGATTTGTTGTAGATATTCTCCATAGATCTACAACAGGAAACGTTTTCAGGAAGGGTTTTGGTTTTGCTATTCTGGTTCTGTTCTCTTTTATGTGGTGATTTGGGGACATATATACATATATATATATTTTCTTCTTTTTCTTTTTAGAGACAGGGTCTCACTCTGTTGCCCAGGCTGGAGTGCAGTGGTGCCATCGTAGCTCACTGCAGCCTCAAACTCCTGGGCTCTGACAATCCTCCTGCTTCAGCCTCCAGAGTAGCTGGGACTATAGGTGTGAGCCACCAGGCCCAGCATTGATTTGAGGATATTAAACAAACAAGCAATTGTGGGCCATTAATATCCATATCTGGTCCTGTTTATTAATTGAAATTATTAAGAAATTTTAAGTGTAATATATACCTGGTGACGTTAATGAAATGCTAGTTAACTACTGTATCCTATGTGCTGGAAATGTCCTATTTAGGGCAATGTGTCCAAAGGGCACAGACTGAATAAACATAATAAAGATTTCAGGGTTGAATTAAGTTTTCTAGGGCTGCTATAACAAAATGCCACAAACCTGGTAGTTTTAAATGGCAGAAACAGACTTTCTGGCAGTTCTGGAAGACAGGAGTTGAAAGTGTTGGCAGGCTATGCTCCCTCTGAAGGGTCCAGGGAGGAGTCTTCTTGCCTCTCTCAGCTTCTGGTGGTTGCCAGCAATTCTTGGCATCTTGATGACATCTGCAAAGGCCTTATTTCTAAAGAAAGCCACGTCCACAGGGACCAGGTGGACATGGATTTTGGGGGACATGATTTAACTCAGTACAGGGGTCTTAGGTTAGGTAATTATATAATAGGGGGACTTCCTAGATAAAGAGAAATAAACATATTCCAGAAAAAGAGTCAGGAGACCTAGACCCAGCTCTTCCAACCTCTGGCATCAGCAAGATGACCACTGAATCCCTATTAATGAGTTTCTTTTTAGAAGCCTGAAACCCTCCTGTAGGCTAAGAAGGAAATGAGTCAGAATAGGTGCCAAGAGCTATAAATTTTCTCTGTCTGGGGTCATTATTCCATTGCCTACAGGCACATACTTGGCAGCTCAAAGTAAATCAGTCACATTCACCAGTCTAGGTGGATGCATTGGTTATTTAATTAATTGGATGTACATGGTTCAGGGTCCTAGTTCTTGATGGGCACCTGCCAAATTCTTGGCAGTCTAGAAATATCCCAAGGGAACTTTTCTGACTTATAAATAGAATTCTCATAATCACACATGCCACCCTTGTTCTACCACCAAGCCTACACCTCATCAGTGTATTTTAACAACAACGACAACAACGACAATGACAATGAACAACAGCAGCAATCCTATTCCAACTCACTATTTCTGGACAGTGTTTTATGTCTTCAGAACATTAGTAGCTGCTTCACAATGAATATGGAGCAGTCTCTTAGCTAGTTGGCATGGTCCTATGAACGATTATTATGCTCTTTGTCTTTCTGTATCATTTTTAAAAGATTTGAGCAGCTTCTCCAGGAACTTTAATTCTACTGGACACACACTGAAGTTGTGATATTTGAGGCCCAAGGTAAGATAGAGTTAGCTGTTTATTCCCCCAAGGTCACAGTTATCC
The DNA here is from genome assembly GCF_000001405.40 of Homo sapiens. Taxonomy (NCBI): domain Eukaryota; kingdom Metazoa; phylum Chordata; class Mammalia; order Primates; family Hominidae; genus Homo; species Homo sapiens. The sequence continues at coordinate 150,922,854 of NC_000007.14, read as the reverse complement.
AGTGTATTGCACACTATCCTCCACCATTCTCAACAACTTTCCACTCATTCTCTGCTAACGTCATACCAACTTCCCACCAGCCTCGCAAGTCAGCCTCCCAATTTCGTATTACCAACTGGTCATCTCTCAACCATGGGCCATTGTCCCCAGCAAGGCCTTTTACCTTTATGTGGAGCATCCTCTTGGGTCTTAATGAATAGCAATTTGAGTCATTTTTGCACTTGCATCTGTCCCTGCATGCATCTTTCTATTTCTGCGTATCTTTTCATACGTCCTTCTCTCCTACTGGCCTTCTCTTTAATTCTCCTTTTCCTCTGGTAACGAGATCTGTCTAGTCTACTTTCCTTCTATTCCTTTCTGTAACAGGGGTATCAGGCAGACTTGACTTGCAGACAATAGAACTAACTCTAGCCGTTTAAATCAGAAAAGGATTTAATACAGAGAATTAAGTGCCTATAAAAATGTTGCCAAATTGGAAGACTGTTTCTAGACCCACTCTTAGAACACCAGCAAGGAACTGGCAAGGGAACTGCTACCTCTCCCATCAACCAGGAAGCGGACACCAGAATCACCCACTAGCTGCAATCCAGGATCAGGAAGCCATGGCTATGCCTGTTTCTCCCCAAACACAACGCCGTTCATTGCAATCTGCAGGCAGAAATGTTGTTGTCACAATTGTTGGTGGAAAATGGATGCCTTCCATACTGCTGCCTCTCTTCCTACTTAAATCAGTTTTGAGATCTAGTCTATGGGCATGCACACTTTACCTGGAAGAATGGATGGGCTGGAGTGAAGCTCAACAGTAATTCATGGGCAATGGAAAATATCTGGCCAGAGACTCAGAGGCTTGGCAGGGACCCAGATGGATGATTGGTGATAGAACAACCTGAGGAAGAGGGAGGTGGGTGAACCCTGAACATGTGAGGATATTTGTGTCCCATGTGAATACTCCAGAAGAGGCTCTCAGTAAACGCAACCCAGTCTGTGGACACTGGTCAGCCTCCCCTCCACTTCCCCCAGCCATCCCAGTGATCTCTCAATGGGCCCGTGTACAAAATGCCTGTGGCAGCAGAGACAGAGGCCCAGATTTGGGCTCAACGCTATGGATTTTCCCTCACCAAGTCTGGTCTGCATCCTGCTAGTACTAAGTGCTCAGCTTCTTCTTTTTTTTTGAGATGAAGTCTCCCTCTCTTGCCCAGGCTGGAGTGCAGTGGCATGAGCTTGGCTCACTACAACCTCAGCCTCCTGGGTTCTAAGCAATTCTCCTGCCTCAGCCTCCTGAGTAGCTGGGACTACAGGTGTGCCCCATCATGCCCGGCTAATTTTGTATTTTTAGTAGAGATGGACTTTCACCATGTTGGCCAGGCTGGTCTTGAACTCCTGACCTCAGGTGATCTGCCCACCTTGGCCTCCCAAAGTGCTGGGATTACAGGCGTGAGCCACTGCACCCGGCCTCAGCTTCTTAATAAGTGTCTTCTTGACCATGACAGTATTACATACAAATTACTTCTAACCAAGGAAGTGATTTTACTTCAAAAGAGTGAGATGCTGGAGGGACATTCGCAGGATTCCACTGTCTGGCAATGTCCTCAGATCACCTGAAGTGCTGGCTGTTGGAGATGCATTCCAGGCACGGGCCTGCTCATGTCACAAGGCCCAGGCTGTTGCTCTCCTCTGATCCTTATTCTTACTCCCTTCTGCCCCATCTATCTTAGCCTTTTTCTCTTTTCCCAGCTTCCTAAAATTTTCACTCCCCAGTGTGTCCTATGAACCATTGTTCTACTGGTGGTAAAGTTCAAGGTCAACTCATTTCTTCCCCTCACTCTACCTTCATATTAACTGAAGCCTTGCTCTCTGTCTTCTGAACACATTTTTATTAGACAAGGCACTTTATGTTGGAAGTTGCAGAAACCCAACTCCAACTAGCTTATGCTAAAAGGGAATCTGTTGGGTGCTATAACATAGAAGGGCAGGATATTACTGGTTTTAGGTTAGGCTGGATTTACATGATCAACTGATGTCCTGAGAGCTCAGTCTGTCGCCAACTTTGGCTCTGCTTTACTCTTGTTGGGTTCATTCTCTGGCAGTATCTTTCTGTGGCTTTAAGAAAGCGACTGGTAGCTCCAGGTTGTGATGTTTACAAATGCAGCTCTCATGAGGGAAGCCCTGTTTCTCTTTAATAGAAATAACCAGGCTGGATGCAGAGGCTCACACCTTTAATCCCAACATTTCGGGAGGCCGAGGTGGGAGCATTGCTTGAGCCTAGGCATTTGAGACCAGCCTAGGCAACATAAAGAGACCCCATCTTTACCCCCGCCAACAACAAAAAACAGAATTAGCTGGGTGTAGTCCCAGCTACTCAGGAGGCTGAGGTAGGAGGATCACTTGAGCCCAGGAGTTTTTGAGGCTGCAGTGAGCTATGATAGTGCCACCGTACTCTAGACTGGGCAACAGAGTGAGGCCCTGTCTCTAAAGAAAAAGAAATAAAATTAAATCAGCAGCATCAAATGGAAAATTGGCCCTGCTTGGGTCATGTGCCCATCCTTCTTGAATTAATCTAGGATGACCAGGCATGTGCCACGTGATTCTTCCTCTGTGGTGTAGTTGAACCATGCAAAGCTGTGTGAGGGGCAATTTCCAAAAGGAAGGAGAGCTGGGCCGCTGGAGCATAGCAGAGCCCACTGTGATTCTGTGTTTCATACCCCTGCCATTTATGCCACAAGTGCCTTTCCTCTTCTTCCTTTAGCCTGCACCTGCGCTTCTAGCTGCTCATGTCCTATTTCTTGCTGGTGAGTGTGCCTATATTTTCATACTTGATTCACTCAGACAACCACCATCTAGGTTGGGAAATCGAACTCACCGGCCCCCTAGAAGCTCCTGTGTGATGCTTCCTGATCACAATCTGTCTGTGAAAGACAAAACAAAAAATACCTTTAGAAAGTAATAGCAGGAAACTAGAAGCACTAAATCTAAAGGAAAACATTAGTTCATATGACTACACTAAAATGAAGAATTTCTGTTTATCAAGAGACATCTTTAGGGAGTACCCATACAAATTCCCACAATGACAAGGACATATCACAAGGATAGAGGAGCCAGCCTGAACGAGCTTCCAGTGGCCAAAGCTGGAACAATTTGAGCAGCAAAGTAAATAACAATAGTAGTGAATTATAAACTAAAGAATAAAATAAATATCTGTGAGTACAAACTGATATAAATACATGATTGAGTATGTAAATAAAATGGGAAGACGGGATAAGTCTTCCATACAGAAGAATTCTAAAGTAGGTAGACGCTCCTCCCTCCAGAAATATGAGTTTCAGCATGAGCTAGACTTAGGGACTTGCTTCCAAAGAACGGAATATGGAAAAGGCAGAAGAGTCACATTACAGTGGGAAAGCCTTAACCAAATGCTCAAAGCTAATATTCCCCATGATGAGCCATGCTGAGATCACGTGCCCTAGATATGAAGTGAGGAGAAGGGCGCCTCTCGTCTGTGGTTCGCCTCTAACACATATGCCCAGTCTAATCGTCCAAAGACATCAGACAAGCCCAAAATGAGGGACATTCTACAAAATACTTAATCTTCAAAGGTGTCAAGATCCTAAAAAAGGACTAAGAAATGGTCACACGCGGGAGGAGGAAACCTAAGGAGACATGACAATGAAGTGAAACGCAGTGACCGGGATTGGATTCCGAAACAGCAAAAGGACATGAATGGAAAGAGTGGTGAAGAGTGTTTCGTTTAATTAATAGTATTGCACCACTGTCAGTTCCTCAGTGTTGACAAATGTACTGTGGTAACTTAAGATGTTAACGTTAGGGGAAGCTGGGTGAAGCCTATGTGGAACTCTGCATTATCTTTGCAACTTTTCTGTAAACCTAAAATTATTCGAAAATAGAAGTTTATTAAAAACACATCTGTATGGCCAGGTGGGGTGGCTCCCGCCTGTAATCCCAGCACTTTGGGAGGCTGAGGCGGGCAGATCACTTCAGATCAGGAGTTTGAGACTAGCCTGACCAACATGGGGAAACCCCGTCTCTACTAAAAATACAAAAATTAGCCGGGTGAGGTGGCGCATGCCTGTAATCCCAGCTACTCCGGAGGCTGAGACAAGAGAATTGCTTGAACCCGGGAGGTGGAGGTCGCAGTGAGCCGAGATCACGCCACTGCACTCTAGCCTGGGTGACAAAGTGAGACTCTGCCTAAAACAAAAAACAAAACAAAACAAAACATCTCTGAGAGGAAAAAAAGCTGAATCACAGAGGGGAAGAAGGTATGTGCAGTGCACATAACCTACAAAAGACTCCTATTCAGAATGTACAGAGTCCTTACAAATCAACATGAAAAAGGCACTGGAATCAATAGAAAAATAAATGAGTAAAAGAACAGAACAAGCACATTGCAAAATAGGACAGCCAAATGGCCAAGAAACATGAAAAAGTGCCTTGTCTCATTAGGGAACTGTGCATGAATTATTGTTTAAAATATTTGTTTTGTGGCTGTGTTTCTTCTTCGTGCATTCCAATTTTGTGGGAGTTGCAGCTCCTCTGCCTTCCTTCATAGCTGTCACTTTCTCTCTTTGTTTGCCTTTCATTTCGCTCGCCCGTCTAATCCGTTTCCCCCTTCTGGGTTCCGAAGTACTTTCTCGTGCTGCTTCCAGTTTTGTCTTCATTTTTGTGATGATTTAAATTTTGATTCTACTCTTTCCTGGGTTTTGCCAGCTTTCTTTTCATATCCTTCTGTTTTCTCACCATCTCTTTCTTGAGCTGTTACTTAAGTTTAAAAAATTCATGGCAAAATATTTGGATATGCTTTTCATCTGTTCATTGCAACACATTTTTGACAAGTGTTTTTTATCTGCCATTTTTCTCTCATTTTTAGTCTATAATATTTTTGTATAGATTGTGTATAGATCTAAATATTATCCTTCTTTGATGCAGACAAGTTTTTCTTGGACCAGATATTTGCAGGAGGTTCGTAAGAGGTAGGGGCCGGGGCCATTCTAGGCTGACACAAATGAACCTGTGAATTATACATATATTTTAAAAAACAGAATTTGTTTAAACTTTTTCTTTTCTCCGCTCAGCAGGGATAGGAAGGTGTAGAGCTGTCTGCAATGCAAAGTCTTTCTTCTGCTGTTGCGTTAGGGTGTGTATTACTTTCATATTTGTAGTAACAAACACTGCAAACTTAGAACAATGCACATTTGGCTTAAAATAACACAACTTTATATCTTACAGTTCTGTAGATCCAAAAGGGGTCATAGTGGGCAAAATGATTTATGACCCCTTTTGGATCTCCAGAACTGTAAGATATAAAGTGGTGTCAAGATGTTTGCAGGGCTATGTTCCTTCTGGTGGTTCTAGGGGAGAATCCACTTCCTTGTCTTTTTCAGTGCCTGGAGGTCAACGACATCCCTTAGCTTATGGCCTGGTCCTCCATCTTCAAATGCATAAACACAGCATCTCCAGATCTCTCTCTTGGACATTCCTGCCTCTCATAAGAACCCTTGTGATTACATTGGGCCCACCTGGAAAATCCAGGCTAATCTCAGCATCTCAAGATCCTTCATTTAATCATACCTGCGAAGTCCCTTTTGGCAAGTAAAGTAGCGTGTTCACAGGTTTTGGAGATTATAATGAGGACATCTTGGCGGGGGCACTCTTCTGCTGCCTCAGGGGTCACAGTCTGGATTAGGATGCTTATTATATGTGCCCTTGGGTCAATGCCTGAGGAAGGGAGGAGGGGAAGCAGGAATGGGCAGAGGCAGTTGTTGGGCTGGGATGCAGCCTGACAGCCTCTGCTCACCCATGAGGAGGTCCGGGGCCGAAAGGAACAAGAGAGTTGTCTGGGGTTGGGCAGATGTGGTGAACTTTGATACTTCTGCTTCCATTAGTCTTTGGATATGGGTTGCACACAAGCTGATGTGACCTGGATGAGCAGTGGTCCTCAGCTGAAGAAGCCCTGGCGAGGCTGACAGCTCGAGGTCGCCCCTGATGGCACTTGCAGAAGGTGGGACAGGTCCTTCCTCAAAGCAGGGTTTGGGTGGCGCATCTCCATGGGTCCTCTGGACAGACTGCTTCCTACAAAAAGCGCTCATCAGTGTGACTGCACCTTCACCCGCCTCTGCTTCTTGGGATCCGATTCGGTCTTGGGAGGCCCCCTGGGGTCTGCCTCCACTGTTGGAAGTGAGGAGTCCCAGGTTTTCTCTCTGGGCTGCACCCTCATCCTCCTGAGCCACCACTGCCAAGGACTCTCTCCTCTCATCCTGCATGCGCAGTCTTCACTCCATTTGGAGAGGATATTGTTCAGAGACCTATCTGTCTCCTAGCTTCATCAGGTATGGCCACTGTGTTTTGGTTTTCCTTTCTGCTCGATGGTCCAGGGCAATTTCCAAGAAGGTAAGGGGAAAGCCATCTCACACCATAGGATCCAAACTGCTCTCTCCCCTTCTTAGAGAATCAACTTCTCTCCACTCTAGGAGGACAGGAGGCACTGTGACCTGCGCTCGCTCCCGCACCCCACCCTCTGCCACTCCACTTCAAAGGCACGCCATCCCTTGCAACACACAGTCCCAACAATCTGTGTGGCTGGTGCCCTCTGGCCTTACCCCCTCTCCTGGATGATCCTGACTTCTCGTCACTCCATTCCTGGGGCACACACATTATGGTGAGCATAACTTGCAGGCTCCCTCCATCTCCACCTCGCTGTAGACATACCTGAACTCCATCCTGTCTTGGCCTTAGCTGCATCAGGCTTCTGAGATCCCAGACTTGGCATTTCCCCACTGGTCAGCACTGCCTGCATCTCCAGCCTGTCCTTCACCTCCCTGATCAGCGTTCTCAGATCCAGGTGTCCTTCCCTCCCTGATTGACCCAGTTCATCCCACTGTTGTTGCTACACTTGAGCCCTCATAACTTTTCAGCTACTTCATGAAATTCTAGCACTTGGACATTAAAATGGGACTTACATGTCCTCTAGGTCAACTTGTATTTGTGGGAAACAGCCTCCAGCTTTCTGTGTGGTGAAGCAAGGGGCCCGGGCGTGCGTGGCCTAGGCCTGGGTGTGTGGTCATGTTTTCTCTAGCTGGAGGATGCTCCTCCAGCTGTCTCTTGGCTGAGGGGCTTGCAGAGTGGACAGGAGCGAGGTATAGAGGAGAGCTTTGAGCATATAAAGAAGTTCTTTTGGGTTGAGTTCTCTAGATGGGGTTTAGGGGAGGAAAAAGAATCCCCAGTCAACAGAATTAATTTGGGACTATCCTCTTTGAAGAAAGGGAGTTAGTATAGAGTGGGGAAAACATTTGCCTTGGAGTTGGATTGACTTGGGTTCAAATATGAGCTCCAACATGTGCTGGCTGTGTGACCTCAGAGTCATTGCTTAAAGGACCTCATTTATTGTACCTGTAAAGTGGTTAGTGACAGGATCTCCCCATATGTGGTCATGCAATTTAAAGGATATGTGAAAAGCTTGGCAAGTGTTTAGTTAGGTTAAGCCATGCTCACTGCTGTAGTAAGCCAACTCCAAAACCTTAACCATGGTTAAGAAATAAACCTCAACCGTGGTTTATTTCTCATTAGGGCAAGGTCCCAGGCAGTGCTCCTCCCTGCCATGACAGAGGTCGAGGGGCTCACATCCTGTGACTCTGCCCTCTCAGCAGGCGGCCTCTGTAGTGGCTGCCATGTGGAGAGTGGCTACCAGGTGGTGACCGAAGAGACACACCAGCTTGGAGCTTTGCTTGGAGCCAGTTTCATGGCCCCATTGAAATGCATGGGAGGCCAGGAAACATGAGGGAGACTGACGGGCTGACTCACGTATCTTAGTTCTTTACTCCACAAACATGACAACATTTTGCATTTTCCTTTGAATGAGAACCCCATAACAATTCCTTTAGCAAATCCCATGGTGGCCTCAGATGTCCTATTAGAAAAGGGGGTTCACACTTCCACACTCAGGTCTGGATTGGGACCAGGAATGTGATGGAGAGGCTGGCAGTAAGGACATTTTAAAAAAAGATGTCTAAATTTCTCAGAAGGAGAAGGGAAACCAGAAAAAGATGGGAGAAATTTAAAACTCTGGGGGATTGAACCTGGAGTGGTGGTGAATGTACTTTCCTTACTGCTGGAATGTTCCTTTGAATCCATGCAAAATGAAAATCCCCTCCACCACAGCCCAGATGGATGGACCCCTGTCCAGGAACAGAGCATGCTTGACTTCGCTGGACAGTGCCTGTTGTAGGCGAAATCTGTCTTCTAGTGCCTTGCATCTGTTGGTCCTGCTTCTCCTTCCAGCTGCTCCATAAGCCCAGCCTCTGACAACGACTCAGATATGTTAGGCAAATGCTCGGGTCCCCTCAACCTTTTCTTCTCTGCGCAAAACAGCCCTTAACACTGCAACCACTCCTGGGAGGATAGAATTTTGAGGTGCTGGCAAGACACAGGGAGAGAGCCCTCACTAGCCCAACATCGCTGGCTTCATGAGTCTGCAGAGCTTAACACTTGGCTGCCCCTGTGGGGACAAAAGAAAGGCCCCCAGGAGAGCTTGGTTACTAGAATCAATGCAAATGGCAGGAGACAGGTTGCCTTCTAGGCCAAAGGTAAATCAGACATGACTTTAATAAAGCTAAATAAATAATGCGAGCAGAGGAAGGGCGACTTGGGGATAGACAACCCACAAAATGGGGAGTCCGAGAGATGGATGTTGACGGTGTCTGCCCAGCACTGTCCGGGGGACATGGAATTTGAGTGTTGTGAGCATCCAGGATGCTGGAGCGCTGATGTCTCGGGCAGGGAGAGTCATCAGGCCATATCATAGCGTTGGGGAGATGCCCTCCAATATTAGCACCTGCCATGGACCAAATTCCATGTTCACAGGCAATGTTTAGTTTAACAATTTTACGTACCAGTTCTCTGATCCTGGGAAAGACAGTGTTCTGGTGGGAAGGTCATTCTGGTGGTTGGAGTGGGAACGAATCCACTGGACCCTGGTTCATCTATCAGTCTATTGCGGGCAGGAACCATTCTCTGCTAGAACGATTCCCCAGGGAGGCTGTGCACCACTGACAGTTGCCACTGTTATCTATTTTCCATTCTTCCCTGTTAGTAGAATCCACATGCCAGCTAAAATACTCACCCTCCAGACCCTCCTGAAGCTCAGGGGAGCTGTGTGCCACAGTTCTGGCCAATGCAACGTGGGCGGAAGTTTATAGGGAGTGTATCCTTTTTCACGATAACAAAGGTAAAGCCCTGCTGGAGAAAACCTTTTTGCCCTTCCCATTTCTTTCTACCTAGAACATGATTGTGAGGCTTGGAAGTGCAGCGGCGATTTTGTGACAATGAAGACAAAAGCTACACTCAAGGATATCAGAGGAAGGAGAGAGAGAGGGGCTGTGGCTCCTTGGTGACATCCATGAGAAGCTGCCCCAGCCCCCACTTGCCTTGTTCTGGACATTGTAGAAAATAAGCTCCTGTCTGTTTAAGCCAGAGTTGGTGGTGGTCTTCACTGATGCAGGTGCTAAGCAGAGTTTCTGGGCTAGCAGAGCTGAGACAGGACCCTACAATGTAGTCAGTGCACAAGGTGATGCGTCTGCGAGGTCCTTGGTGGTCTTCCCCTTGGATACTTCTCAGTGTTTTTCTGGTCATAAATATAACTCACATACTTAGTGAAAATTCAGATGAATCAGTGAATTTTAAAGAATAAAGAAAAAAACTTCCTTAAGCCTACCACCCAGAGATAACCACTGTTTACACAGTGGTGAATATCCTCAGAGATATCTGTGGGTCTAGTCGATATAGGTAATGCATTTTTAAAAACATATATAGGATTGCATTTTGAAACTTGCTATTCACTCAGCAGTGTTTTGTGAACCTCTTTCTAGTGATTTTGTTAAGAAAATCCCTTCTGAATGTTGTCTGATTGAAAAAATATCTCCATTATTAATGTTAGCTCTTTTCACACTTAAATACTATTATTTAATCTATTATACTGTAATTTAGCCGATCTATCCTCAGTGGGTATTGAATTTCTGGTATTATGTGTAGAGCTGCCGTGCAGGGTCTTGGGAGAATGTCTTTGAGAACCTCCTGATCGCCTCCCGAGGAACATCTCTGGGAGTGGGTTTGCTGGCTCAGAGGGATGCAAGCATGAGGGTCTCTCACTCCCTGGCCTGAGCTGCTTCCTGCTGTGAGGTCCCCGCTCCTGCACTGTGGGATGTTTCTGGAGATGGTCTCAGCTTTGCTGACTTCTTCTACATGTCTGTGCTCTCTGGTTCAAAACGACCCGAGACAGCTCATCAGTAGTTCAATCACTGCCGTTGCCCTGACACATGCCCCATGACAGCTATTCTAATTCCTATCCCACTTCTTAAGCCCCCAGTCCTACCTTTCTGGAACCACTCTCAGGGAGATTTCCTTCTTTGAAGATCCAAATTAGGCTAAATTTGAGCTCAGTGTATAAGGCACTCTGCAAAAGGTTTCGCTTTCCAAGAAAAGCACTAGTCAGAATGGATTTTCTTTACAAAATCCTTTTATTTTCCAATAGAAAGGGCCCTGAGTGGGTGCCGAGACATCGCCTCCAGTGCGTTCAGCCACCCTTTTGCAGGGTGCTCTCTGTACAGTGAACTTGTTTGTACCCAGCTCTCCATGTCCTCCTCCTCCCCAACTTAGGGGGAGGGTCGGTCATCCACAGGGACTCTGTGGCTGTAACCCAGTCCCGCTTTTCTCCTCCAAGGTGAGCTGCACCCCTTCTTTTCGCCCAAGTTGATTGACAGCAATCACAATGGATCTCAGTGTCCCTGTCCTCATTAGGGGAATTGCCAAGCTGGCTCCCTCTGTCTTGTAACAGAGATACCGTACAGTAGCCAGCACTCAACGTTTTCTAATGAAACAATGTAAGACATGAGGCTGAAGAACATTCTGTGCCCATTGTATTCATTTGTTACATTAACAAAATGCATTAAGTATCTCGTGGGATCAGGCTCTCCTAGGCCTTGGAGTACTGGTCTATTTAGTGATGGTTTTCGAAGTCCACACATTCACAGGTGGAGGAAGTGTTGTAATTAGCAAATGGGCAGCGGCCATCCCCCAGCCTGCCACTTCTGCAGGGTGGCTCAAGTGTCCCTGGCAGGTCAACCCTTTCTTCCTTTCCTCCTGGATAAGAGGAAAGGGAGATTGGATTCCAAATCTTCCCACATCCTCTGGTTCATGGCGCTTTGTCCCTTTAGATATGTTAATTATTCAGCTTCTCGAGTAACGAAGAAGCTCCCTTCATGAGTGCCCCCCTTACCATGAGAAGCTTGCCCTGGGCTCCATCCCAGTTCTCACCAGATTTCCTGACAGACACACAACCCTCTCCGCTTCTCACACGTGCGCTCTTTCATGCACAGCCTGGCTCAGCTCCTGCACTGTCTTGAAAACACACCACTGACCGCCCCCCTGGACCTGGAATCTGTGTTCTCTCCAGGCTTCGACGTCTTCCACTGCCACCTCCTCCAGCTTCACGAGAGCAGTCAGTGGCCGCCTGACTTGCAAGCTGACTTCCATTCCCTTCCTCTTCTCTGCACCGACCATTCTTCCAGGTCGCCTTTGTTGGCTTCTTGTTTCTCCTCCTGTAAAGGGCTGATGGCCCCCAAGGTTTCCTCTGCGCCTTGAGCTCGTTCCTGTCTACATCTAGTTTGAAGAGCTCAGGCACGTGCACAACTTCCTAAGACATATGTAGGAGGATAGCTCCCAGGCCCTTGTGTGTGGCAGGGTGTGTGCATGGGTGCACGTACGTGTGTGTGGCAGGGTGTGCACATGTCTCTGTGTGTGTGCACGTGCATATGTGTGTGCACATAGCAGGGTGTGTGTGTGCATGTATGGCAGGTGTGTGTGCGCATGTGTGTGTGTGTGTGTGTGTTGAATTTTCTGATGAGTGGGAGCGATGTAACTTTCACTCTCTCTATTCCACTATACTGGCCTCCTCGCCAGTCCAAAAACAAGGCGAGCCTTCTCTCACCTCTGCCCTTTTTTCTGCAGAAATGCTCTCTCTCCAGGTGTCCCCATGACGCTGTCCTCATCCCTTCTGGTTTCTGCTCCAAGGGCACCTTGTGAAAGACTTCCTGACCCATCCATATAAAATAGCGACCTCATTTGCTGAGCTTTAAAATGTTTCTCCATAGCCCGTACCACCACTTGACATCTCTCAAACACACACACACACACACACACCACACACCACACACACACACCACACACACCACACACACACACCACACACACACACACCACACACACCACACACCACACACACACCACACACACACCACACACACCACACACACGACACACACACCACACACACCACACATACACCACACACACCACACACACACCATACACACACACCACACACACACCACACACACCACACACACACCACACACACCACACACACACCACACACACACCACACACACACCAAACACACCACACACACCACACACACACCACACACCACACACACACACCACACACACACACCACATACACCACACACACACCACACACCACACACACACTACACACACACACCACACACACACCACACACACACCACACACACACCACACACACCGCACACACACCGCACACACACACCACACACACCCCACACACACCCCACACACACCCCACACACACCCCACACACACCACACACACACCACACACACACACCACACACACACACCACACACCACACACACACCACACACACCACACACACACCACACACACCACACACCACACACACACAACACACACCCACACACACACCACACACCACACACACACCACACACACCACACACCACACACACACCACACACACACACCACACACACCACACACACCACACACACACCGCACACACACACCGCACACACACACACCACACACACACCATACACACCACACACACACCACACACACCACACACACACACCACACACACACCACACACACACACCACACACACCACACACACCACACACACCACACACACACCACACACACACACACACCACACACACACACCACACACACACCACACACCACACACACACCACACACACACACACACACCACACACACACCACACACACACACACCCCACACGTTTATTTCTTTATTGTCTGTCTCCACAAACTTAGAAGCTCCTAGTGAAAAAAGATTTTGTCTCCCTGGAAGTCATACAGTAAATATTTGTTGAATAAGTGAATTCTCATTAACACCTGGTAGGAGCAAATCTGTTGATAAGGTTATTAGCTGCAGAATCCCCTCTACTCAGTTTAAGAAGAAAAGGATTGATTCGGGGTTTGTAGTAGATCATAGGATCTTGGAGCTTGGAAGAAACAGACTCAAGAATGAGCTTTCAAGAATGACTTCCCGTGTGATACCGCAGACCAGCCCCTTGCCTCTGCCTCAGTCAAGAGTTTCTAGAGCAGGAAGCCCCATCAGCCGCCAGCTCCAACAGTGCACGGCTTCTGCTACCAACCACAATGGGACCTCTGCACTTTCCCTCTTCCCCACATAACTCAGGTCTAAATCTAAGTGTCATGGGCCCATATGTGGTTAGTGGAACCTAAATCCCATGTCCATTCCCTAACAATAACTGAGACTCAAAAATGTGGGCTCCTCCCCACCCTCCAGTGTTAGGAAGGCAATGTTCACTTGGGGAAGAGGTGTTCAAAAGATTTGGGGGGCTGAGCGTGATGGTTCACGCCTATAATCCCAGCACTTTGGGAGGCTGAGGCAGCTGGATCACTTGAGGCCAGGAGTTTGAGACCAGCCTGGTCAACACGGTGAAACCCCATCTCTACTGAAAACACAAAAATTAGCCGGGCATGGTGGTGCACACCCATAGTCCCAGCTACTCGGGAGGCTGAGCTGGGAGGCTTGCTTGAGCTCAGGAGGCAGAGGTTGTAGTAAGCCAAGATCATGCCACTACACTTCAGCCTGGGTGACAGAGTGAGACCCTGTCTCCAAAAAAAAAAAAAAAAAAAGATTTTGGGAAGGCTGGAGGCATGGTGGCTCATGCCTGTAATCCTACCACCTTGGGAGGCTGATGCCAGAGGATCACTTGAGCCCAGGAGTTCAAGACCAGCCTGGGAAACATAGTGAAACCCTGTGTCTACAAAAAATAAATTAGCTGGGTGTGGTGGCACCTCCCTCTACTCCCAGCTACTTGGGAGGCTGAGGTGGGAGGATTGCTTGAGCCCAGGAAGTCAAGACTGCAGTGAGCTGTGACTGCACCATTGCATTCCAACCTGAGTGACAGAGAGAGACCCTGTCACAAAAAAAGACAAAAGATTTTGGGGAGCCATGAATGACAGATGCCAATTATATATACTTTCCTAGGTTTTCCATTCTGATGGGATTAAATGTTTCTGTCACTGTAATTTTAATTTTCTATTAGCTTTCCTTTCTTGTATGTTCTGTTAATGCTTAGTCAGTTTTTTTTTTTTTAAATAGAAACGAGGTCTCACTATGTTGCCCAGGATGGTCTTGAACTCCTGAGCTCAAGTGATTCTCTTGCTTTGGCCTCCCAAAGTGCTAGGATAACAGGTATGAGCTATGGTGGCCGGCCATTAATACTTACTCACTTTTAGACATTGCAAATGCCTTTTTCTAATCAGGCTTCCATATGTTAGTTTTGTCTATGGTATTCTTTATTGATTGATTGATTGAGACAGGATCTTGCTATGTCACTCAGGCTGGAGCACAGTGGCACAAACATGGCTCACTGACACTTCAACTTCCTGGGCTCCAGTGATCCTCCCAGACTCTCCAGTAGTTGGGACCACAGGCATGTGCCACCATGCCCAGCTAATTTTTGTATTTTTGGTAGAGACGGGGTTTTGCAGTGTTGCCCAGGTTGTCTCAAACTCCTGAGCTCAAGCAATCCAACCACCTTGGCCCCCCAAAGTGCTGGGATTATAGGTGTGAACAACTGCACCTGGCCTTGTCTACGGTATCCCTTAAATAGAAATTCTTTTTGCCCCTGAATGGTCATAATAAGTTAACTTTTACCTATGGTGGGTCCTCCAGAGTGCTGAGTTGTATCAATTAGATTTTTTAAAAAATAAATTTGATTGTGTATATTTAAGGCATACAACATGATGTTACGAGATCCATGTAGATAGTAAAATAATTACTATAGTGAAGTAAAGTAACATATCCATCATCTTATATTAGCACTTTTTTTTTGGTAAGAGTAGTTACAATATACTCATTTAGCAAAAATTCCCAATGTGATACACTATTAGTAACCAAAGTCCTCATGTCTGGATCTTTAGATTTGTCCATCCTACATATCTGCTATTCTGTGTACTTTGACTCACATCTTCCCATTTCTTTCTCCCACCTTACTCCTGGTAACCACTGTTTTATTCTCTATCTCTGTGTATTTGCCTTTCTTTCTTTTTTTCTTTTTTAAGATTCCACATATAAGTTTGATCCACTATATTTGTCTTTCTGTATCTGGCTTATTTCAGTTAGCATAATGTCCTCCAGCTCTGTCTACATTGTGTCAAATGGCAGGATCTCCTTTATAAAGCCTAATTAATATTCCACTGTGTATACATACCATAGTTTCTTTATCCATTTGTCCACTGACAGACATCTAGGCTGTTTCTGTATCTTGGCTATTGTGAATAATGCTGCAATGAACTTGGGAGTGCAGATATCTTTATGAGGTGGTGATCTCATTTTCTTTGGGTATATGGCCAGTAATGGGATTGCTGGATTATAAGGTAATTTTATTTTTAATTTTTTTGAGGAGCTTCTATATTGTTTACTATAATGGCTAAACGAGCTTATATTCTCACCAGTAGTGTACAAGGAAGGTTCCCTTTTCTCCACACCAACACCAACACTTGTAATCTCTAGTCTTTTTGGTAATGGTCACCTTGACAGATGTGAGGTGGTATCTCATAGTGGTTTTGATTTGCATTTACCTGATCATTAGTGATGTCGGGCATCTTTCATATATCTGCTGGCCATTTCTATGTCTTCTTTGGAGAAATGTTTATTCAGGTTCTTTGCCCATTTTTAAAGTGGATTGTTTGTTGTTTTTGCTGTTGAGTTGTATGCGTTTTTAAAAGGCATTTTCGATATTAACTCCCTATTAGATACATGGTTTACAAATATTTTTCTCTGATTTGTTGGTTGCCTTTTTTTTTGTTGTCGATTGTTTGCTTTGCTGTGCAGAAGCTTTTTAGTTTGATGCGGTCCCATTGATTTATTTTTGCTTTTGTAGCCTGAGTTTTGGTGTGGTATCCAAAAAGTCATTGCCAGGGCCAATGTCGAAAACTTTTTCCCGCTTGTTTTCTTCTAGGAGTTTTATGGTTTCAGGTCTTACCTTTAAGATCTTTTATCCATTTTGAGTTGATTTTTGTGTATGGTGTAAGACAAGAGTCCAGTTTCATTCTTTTGCATTTGGAAATCCAGTTTTGAATATAAATTCTTAATTTTTATATAGGGAAAACATCAAGTTTTGCCTTATAGTTTGTGCTTTTTAGGTCTTTCTTATGAAAGCTTCCCTGAATCCAACCCCAGGTATCAAATACATGATTGTAATTTTTTCTATTGCCTTTATAGTTACATCTTTCACATTGAGATCTTTAATTCACCTGGAGCCCACCTCTGCATATGGGTGTGGTGGGAATCCAACACCCTCCACCCCCTATTAAGGAGCTAGTTTTCTCAGCAATCATTTGCTACACATGTTCTTCTTTCTACACTGACTTGTGGTGGCTTCTCTGCCATAAACCAAGTTCTTGTACACACGTGGGTCTATATCCAAGTTCTCTA
Organism: Homo sapiens; assembly: GCF_000001405.40. Lineage (NCBI taxonomy): Eukaryota > Metazoa > Chordata > Mammalia > Primates > Hominidae > Homo > Homo sapiens. Next base: position 150,906,005 of record NC_000007.14, on the reverse strand, counting down.
TTTTGGTTTATGATGCCAGCACTTTACCTTCTTATTACTATGATTTTTGGGTTATCTTCCTTCTGGTGAGATACATTCTTCTTGGCTCATCTGGGATCTGTGGAAGGGTGAGTAAAAGCAAATCTTTCTGTCCTTTTCTTCGGAGTCCCTAAGCTCCACAATAGTCAAAATGAAAGAAAAATACCGGGCCTCTGACAGCCAGTTAAAAGCGAACAGTGCGGCTGCCGGACTTAAGGCATGGAGGATGGCCAGAAGATGAAGAGGGCAGAGAGATGATGGGACAGGACGACCAGCTGCAGAGAGGAGTACCCTCTACGCTGAGAGCTGCAGAGAGGAGTACCCTCTCTGCTGAGAGCTGCAGAGATGACCAGTGTGCAGAGAGGAGCTACCCTGTCTGCTGAGAGTTTCAGAGACCTGCAGAGACCTCCGAATGACTTGCCTGCAGACAGGAGCCACCCTCTCCAGGCCTCCTCTGCTGAGAGAGGAACACTCAACGGAGGACCTGCCTATAGAAAGGAGCTACCCACTCCTCTGAGCTGTTCTAACACTAAATAAAACTCTTCTTCTTTACCCATCACTTGTCTGTGTACCTCATTCTTCCTGGACACAGGACAAGAACTCGGGCAAAGGCGCCGTGGCCACAGAGGTTTCCAGTCAGAAAAGTCGACACCCCAGAGATCCTGTAACATCTTTAAAAAAATTATGGTAGTAATTTGGGAACTTTTATTCTTCCTTATAAATTTTAGAATAAATGTATTGCATTCCTAAAAAAGGACAGTTGGAGTTTGATTAGGACGACAATTGTGGTAATAATTGGGTAGAATTGATACTTTAATATTAAGTTGTCCAATCCAACAACACAGATTATTCTGTTTATTTAGATCCACTTTTATCTCCTTTATTAGAGGGTAAAAATTTCCTTTACAGAGGACTAGTATATTTTTTTTCAGGCATTTTATAGGTTGTGTTGCTGTTATGAAAGGTATCCTATTTTCTTATATGTATATATGTCTTATTTTCTCCTATATATTATAGGTGGTTAATGTGGTATAGACAAAGTGTTATTGGTCTTTGTAAGTTGACTTTACATCCATCCAGCAACCCTGTTATTAGTTTTAATAATTAGTTGAAATTTCTATGTAAATTTTCATATAGTCCACAAATAACATTTTAATCTCTTTCCTCCTTCCGACTTCTACACCTCCCATTTCCTTTTCTTGTTTTATAACAGTGGCCCTGACTCTGGCTCTTTGTTACATAGCAGCAATGCTAACAGGCACCTTATCTTCTTGCCAATCTAGATGGGGATGTTTCTAAGGTTTCTCCATTGGATGTGATATTTGCTTGGGGTTTTGGTATGCCGTCTTTAAAAGTTGAGGTGATTCTATTCAAATTCTAGTTTTCTGAATTACTCTTTGGCTCTTTGCCATGAAGGGCTGCCTGTCCCTCATGCCCTTGGCCCACAGAGCACAGCCAGGCTTCCGCCATGCCACCACAGGCAACTCCATGACTTACAAGCTGGTGGCTTACAAACAGGATGTCACTCCTCCTGGGAAGCATCCTCCACCACTGTCCTGGAGGGACATAGCTCAGCCCAGGTGGAGGAGAGTGGTGATGCCCTCCTGTGACACACAGACACCTCATGCACACCTGTGACCTGTGGTACACAGGCAGGAGGGGTCATGGAGAGAAATGACATTGGCTGTGAAACAAGGTGATTTGGCCTCAAAGTTGGGACCTGCCATGTACTAGCTGTGTGACTGTGAACAATTTATTCAACCACTCTAAACCTCAGCTTCCACATTTGTGAAATGGGGAATCTAACTGTTCTTGGGGAAACCACGTGGTAGTTTGTTAAATAAAATAGCCAGCAAAAAGTATTCAGCAGAGTAATAACTGTCCGCTATTGTATTTGTAATCCATAAACGAATATCATTCACACATTATGAGCAGGGTAAATGCTCTTGATAAGAAGTTAAGCAAAAGCTATATATAGACTAAGTCGACGTTTGTTTTAAAATTTGCATAAGTAAAAGACCGAGGAGAAATAGATCCTTTATATTTGTGTTTTCGAATTTTTCTGTAGTGAGCACATGATTACCTCATAAATCTCTGAAACATGTTTTATGGAAACAGAAAGCCCAGTGTGACTCAGCAGTGCCAAGGCTGCCAAGAGAGCTGGCGGTGGCCCGGCCGCTTCAGCGGAAACAGTGCCCGCACCTGGAGGTCCTGGGCCTGCCACCCTGGGCCCTGGCTGGAGCCCAGCTACACCAGCGCTTTGTTTAGCTCTGGGCATAGGTAGCCATGGAGACCCTGAGTGCCACGGTGGAACAAGAATGTGGCGAGTGTGTGAAGGCCACAAAATCTGCAGGACAAGAGGGCTGAGAAAGCCAGGAGGGGTGATGTGGGATGGGAAGAAGCAGGGAGCCCCCCGCCCGGTAGGCTTAGGGGGGTAGGGGAGAGGGGGAGAAGAGAGAGGGACAAATAGAGACAGAGAAAGAGAGAGAGAGGTATGGAGAGAGAGATGGAGAGAGGCCGGGCGTGGTGGCTCACGCCTGTAATCCCAGCACTTTGGGAGGCAGAGGCGGGCGGATCACGAGGTCAGGAGATTGAGACCATCCTGGCTAACACGGTGAAACCCCGTCTCTACTAAAAATACAAAAAATTAGCCGGACGTGGTGGTGGGCGCCTGCAATCCCAGCTACTCAGGGGGCTGAGGCAGGAGAATGGCGTCAACCTGGGAGGCAGAGCTTGCAGTGAGCCGAGATCACGCCACTGCACTCCAGCCTGGGTGACAGAGCGAGACTCCGTCTCAAAAAAAAAAAAAAAAAAAGAGAGATGGAGAGAGAGGAGGAGGTGAAGGAGAAGGAGGAGGAGGGAGTCCCAGCGTGAGGAGGCGCTTCTGCTGTGGCCGTCTGACCTCAGGGCCCACCTATTGCTTTCCTCGTGCCTGGCCCCAGCATGTTCTTCTGGGCACTGCCCTCCCCACTCAGCCACAATGTTCCTACAGGTCCGTCCATTGCCCCATGGTCCATGGTCCTGAGCCCTGAGATGTCTTTCTTGGGAGTTTGCAAACTGGCCTGGGAATAGAGACTCTCTCTCAGGCTGCAGGGCCTGCAGTGTCCTCAAAGGCCATGGCCCTGCAAGAGGAAAAAGATGAGAATGAAATCAACCAGTTCAGGCGTGAGCGCCCGGCCAGCTCCTCCCAGAGGCAGGTCCCTGCCCTTCTCCAGGGTCTGGTTGTTGAACGTTCCTTCACTGGGCTCGACTCCCAGGCATCTTGTCAAAGTTCATCTCCTTTTTCTTGATCTTGTTCAAGTTGAAGTTTTATCACTTGCAACCAAAAAGGTCCTGAGTAACACAAAATGACCGGTATCAGTGGTAAAGAGGAGCCTGAAGGAGAGGCTCCAGGAGAGGGTGGCCTGGGAAAGACATTGTAAAGGTGTGGCTCCTGGGGATGGGGGTGGGGCCCCAGCTGCCTGTGCTGGGTGTGCACATGCTCTGTCTCTCTGTCTCTCTCTGAGTCTCTATCTCCCTCCCTCTGAGTTTTCATCTCTGTCACTCTGTCTCATTTTCTCAGCTCAGTAGAGACATTGGCCCTCTTTTCCAAGCTCCCTATTTTGCCCTGTCTCCTTCACTCTCTGCTGCTGACCCGCTGCTAATATGCTCTGCCTCAGCAGCCTCCCCACCCCGCAGCCCAACTGTTCCCGCGCCATCCACGACCATTCCTGCAGGCTCAGGGACAAGCTGGGCTTTGACACATGCCCTTGACTCCTACCCCCTTGGTAACATTTCCCACCCCCACCCTGCAGTCCAGCTCTCCCTCCTGGGTCCCGATGTGGGCGGTGGCAGTATATCTGTGCCCAAGCTTGATGCCCCCTCCTTCCTTCTGTGTGTCCTGGATTCTCTGAGATCTGGTGCTTTAACCTCTGGGATCCTTCCTGGATGTGCCTCTTCTTTCAAAGCCTCCTACCTTGGCCCTGATTTAGACTCCTATCATCTCTCGTATGAAGATTTTCTGTCTCCTGCATGATTTCTCTGTTTTTGTTCCTCCCTAATCCACCCCCCACCCCGCTGTCATCATGGCAAGCTCACAGATCTCTTTGTGCCACTGCCATGCAGAGAGCTCTGCCAAGGCCCCGCCAGCTGTGCAGTAAACCCCAAGGTCGGGCCCTCTCCAGGCTCAGCCAGGCAACTGCCCACCTGTCACATTTTACTCCAGGCACCCTGGACTATTACAGCTCCCAGCACAGAATGCAGTGATGTTTCTCAACTGTGTGCCTTCGATCAAGCTGTCGCCCTCGGTTGGAACACCCCCTCCACAGTTCCCCAAGCCTGGCTCACTCTGATGCATTGGACCTCTGCCAGACCCCTCCCCTCGCCATACCCCAGCCTGCAGGGAGAGGTAACCTCTGCATTTACACCACAATTTCTAGTTACTTCCTCATGAATCAGTGCTTCCCACTAAGCAGCAGGGGCCTTGAGGTTGTGGGGCCTCTGATTTCACCTCTTTGTAGTATAGTCCAGATATTCAATAAACAGGGACTCAGGCCTCACGGAGCAAGGAGGGGACGGGCCGAGGCTGCCTGGGCCGGACACAGAGCTGCAAGGGTGAGTGCAGTGCATGTGCAGTGTGGCTGGGGAGGGAGCTCAAGTTCGCTCTGCAGAGGCTTGGCTGCAGCAGCAGCCCTTTGATCCCCGAGTTACAGACCTTGCCCTGGGCCGGTTCTTCCTGCTCTGGAGCTGGGGGCAGGGACAATATCACAGAGTAAGGCCAGTCTGGACTCTAGAAAAGTGTCTCTAAACTGGGAGACTCCTCCATCCCACCCAGAGTCCAGAAGCAGGCTAGGGTCCCCTCCATCCAGAAAGAAGGTGCCCTCCCCGCAGCAAGCTGGAAACACCAGAGTCGACTGGAATTCCAGGTTTACTGAGGGCCTGCTGTGTTCCAGGTCCCAGAGGTGTAGGTCCTGGAGGTGTAAAAATGAGCCAGGGGCTTTCAACCCAGCGAGGCAGAGAGGCAAGTGAGGCCAGGGGTGAGAGCAGCTGGGTAAGCACAGGGAAGAGGCCCCGGTACCCGCGAGTGCTCCATGGTACAGAGCCTGGGTTCTCACTGGAGAGAGAGACAGAGTAAGTGCAAGTGCATAAGGCAATTCCCTACAGCAACAGTGAGGGCAGAAGACAGGGCTGTGGGGGCTGGGTCGCCGTGGAGAAAGTCTCTTTGGGAAGTGACATTTGAACTGGATGCGCTGGGTTTACCTTTTAAGGTCAGGAGAGGCAGACGCAGAGGAATCAGAAGATGCAAGGCCCTGAGGTGGAAACAAGTTTTGGTGTGGCTGGAAATGAGGATGTCATAATTTTGTCAAAGTAATGCTGCCCAGGCCAGGTGCCGTGGTTCACACCTGTCACCCCAACGCCTTGGGAGGCCGAGGCAGGAGGATCACTGAGCCCAGGAGTTTGAGACCAGCCTGGGCAACATAGTGAGACCCCTACTCTAAAAAAAAAATTAGCCAGGCATGGTGCACACCTGTAGTCCCAGATATTTAGGAGGCTGAGGTGGGAGAACTGCTTGAGCCCAGGAGTTCAAGGCTGCAGGAGTGACCTGTGATTGCACCACTGCACTCCATCCTGGAAGACAGAGAGAGACTCTGTCTCTAAAATAATAATCATAATAACAAACAGCTCTCAAACTCAGTGCATTATGACAACCAGTGTTAATTACTCTCATACTCACAGGTCTCAGATGGCTATAATTTGGCTGATCCAGGATAGGTGTGGCTGGACGGCCCTGCCTTAGGCTGTAGGTAGCCTGGGTTTGACGCAAGTTCAGGTGGTTGCACCAAGTTTGTCCTGGGGCACAGCAGAGGCTCTCTGGAGGAAGCTCTTCTTACCCTGGACTTCTGGAGTGGAAAGAAGGAGCCAGGCCATGTGGGCGCATGGAGTGCTTCTGCTAGTTCCATCCTCCAACAGCCCCAGGGCCAAAACACGTCAGGTGGTCAAGTCCAACATCAATGAGCAGGGGAGTCTATACGGGAGGAGTGTGAGTATTTGCTGAATAATAATAACCCAGACTGTCACCCGCCACCTCAGAGAGGAGCTGTGAGGACGGAGGGAGTCACTGCCTGGTTTGTGCACATGTTAAATGCTTACCCCATGCTAACTGATACGTGGAGGATGTAGGGATGGGTCAGATTCTCAAGGTCTTGATAAATCACGTTGAAAATTTTGGGAGCCATGGAGGCTTCAATCAGAAGGGTGACAGGGTTTGATCTGGATTTCAGAGCAACCCCTCTGGAAGCCGCGTTGAGGTTGGTCTGATGGAGGCGAGACTGGGGTCTCAGGGTGATGAGCAGTAAGTCATCATGGGGAAAGGAAAGATGGAACGAATTCAGGAAATGCTGGGAAGGTGGGACTCACGGGTAGATGGCAGAGGGGCTGTGTGGAGGGAAGCAGGTGCCTAGGCTCTCGGTTCTTGGCTTGGGTCAAGGGACATGATGATAGACCCTGGGCTGGGGAGCACAGGAGGAAGGGCTGGCCTGTGCAGGGGATAGAGGAGGTGATAAACCGGCTTAGACATGTGGAGTGTGAGGTTCTCACAGGACGTTTAGGTAGAGGTACAGGTCTTGGCGTGTAAGAGAAGAATATGGACATGGGACATATATTTGGGAGTCAAATCGGTTAAGGGGCAGGCAGGAAGTGAGCCCCAGTTATTGAGGTTTCCAGGGAATGGGAAATATGCTGGGTTGGCGCAGGGGAACTCCAGTGGCGCATATTCACATGTGGCTGACGTCGCCGTGAGATAGCCATCCTCATATTCTTCTTCTAAACTAAAGCCTGAAATTACTTGGGGGTGGCAAAGCCCAGCAAAAGAGCCCACCCCCAGCCTCCATGGCTAAGGCTTGGCCAATGAGTTGTAAGACAAGTGATGTCTGTGAATTCCGGCAAAGCACAGTGAAGGTAGCCATACCCTTCTCTGTCCCCTCCTCCATCCTACTGCCTGACTTGTATGAGATGGCTGGAGCTCTGGCAGTCACCGTGGACTAGGAGGCTGGGGGCTACATCCCAGGTGGAGGCCGTGAGGAGGAAGGAGGCTGCGTGCCCTAGGCCTTCATGGGGCCCCTAAGCCACTCAGGACTGTGTTTACAGAGAAACACGACTGTCTCTTGTTGAAGCCGCTGTGAACACATTTTTCTGTTCCATTCAGCTGAACTTGGTCCACAGGGAGCCATTTTGAGTCTGCCGTTCTTGGTCAAGCCTCACCCCGGGGGCATTTCCAGCCTCTGTTTTCTCCGCGGGATTAATAAGAGGCAGCCGTGCCCGGTCCAGTCGCCGCGAGGTGTTGTGCGCCACCTGGTGGTCGCGTGGCAGACAGCATTCCTCCAAGCGAGACAGCACCAGCGGCTAAAATGCAGCTATCTGCACCTCGAACCCAGCCCATCTTTTAGCCAATGACAAGCCAAGTGCCCCAGAGTCCTGCATGGCAGTGGACGCTGACAAGAACTCCAGGAATTCCAGATTGCATGGAGCTTCTCGGCTCAGGTGTGTTTTCGGAATCAACTGCGGGCAGTTTCCAAGGAGCCAGTTGGCGGTCCCTGCGTCTCCTCGTCCAGGTCGTGAACTTCTGTACTAAAGGATTCCATGTGACCCCTCTGCTGCAGACTCTGGTCTCAGAGCAATAGTGAGAGCTGGAGAGAAGGGAGGGAGATGACTCACTGCTTTACTGAGCAGGAAATTAACACCAAGGGAGCCTAACCTGGCAGCAGCCTGGAAAAATTGGTTTGCGGTGGTTTGAGCAGTGGGCAAAGTGGGTTTATGTGGGCGAGCTTATTAACACTTCCTTTTGCTGACTGCGGGTACAAGCTTGAAATGGCCAACAGTGCAGCAAATAGAGACCAAGTTGCAAAAATGAGTCTTCATCTCACTGAAGTTTGAGAAATTGCAGAGGCTCGTGGAGAGACTCCTGGTGCCAGGACACGCAGGTCTCCACCCAATCTGGCCACTCTGTGTGTGACCCGGGGCCCGTCCTCTGTCTCCAGGCTCCCCTTGCTACATGAGGTGGCCGGAACACTGCCTGGGTTTTGAGGCCAAGGGTTTGTAGGTGTTGGTGAAGAGAAGGGGCCCCCAGGCTAGGTGAGGGGACCTCAGTTACCTCCCCCTTTCCCAATCATCCTTTTCTGAGGCCACCTTCAATTGCTACCCTATCCTAAAAGGCCTCGAAAAGCAACAGGCTCTGGTGTCCCGACATCTTCTGGTTTCCTCTTCTTTCTGTGAAACAACTGAGTCTCAGCTTTTCTCATTTGCATCCCCACCTGGCAGCTGAAGAGCCGCAAACAAAATAACACCTGCTTTACATGAAGGGGAAGTGACTTGGGGCTGGAGTGAGAGGTGGGCCCGGGTCATAAGTCCTTGTTTGTTTTCTTCTTTCCTTACACTGCTTGGTGGGTTCTTCGTGGTCCTCCGCAAAGAGGGTTTGGGAATGGCGGGTGTCTCTCTCACTCGGAGCCAGCCCCTGTCTCTCTTCTGCACTGTTCCTGAGCCTGGGGTGGGTGTCTGGAGCGAATGGACTGGATTCCTCCCCAGCCCCAGGGTCTCTGTCTCTGGTGAGGGGCAGGTGGCTGTGTGTTGAACAAGCCTCTCCCTCCTCTGATCCACAACCAAACACATACAGGGATGTCCCGGGTAACTCTGGGAGTGTCCCTGTCTCTGGCCCTGCATTCTGGGGTCTGTGAACTGCAAATTGCTAGATGGAGGGATCTGCCTACCCCAAAGGGGAATTTCCAGGGAGAGGGATCTGTCCACCCCAAGGGGTGTGGCCAGGGATCCTCCTCCAGGAGATGAACCCCACAGACATGACTTTGGGTCCAAGCACCATCAATGCCATTTCCTGGGGCTGCATGGCTGGGAACCAGTTTGCCGACCAGTCGGAGCTAGATAGGGAGGGGGCAGGGCCGAAGTGGAGGTCTCCCCCTTTCCTTTCACTGCCTTTCTACATGCGGTGCTGGTCCTGGATCTGTTGTCCTGAGACTCTACACTTGTCCTCTCCCTCCTCTGCCATGTCTTGTGGGGACAGACCCCTGCAAGTGGTATCTCCCACACTTCCAGGTTCCACCCATGGGAGGCCTGAGCATGAGACAGAGGGGGCTGGACCTTCTCTCCCTTTCTCTCCAGCTGCGACAGACAGGCCCCCAGGGCTCCCAGCTTCCACTGGTGACCCGGCTGCAGGGTCTGGGAACTCCACGCCCTCCCTCTGCCCCTGCCTCTCTGGGCATTGCTGTCTCTGGAGTACCCACCCTGTTTATCTCTTAGTTCACCCATCCTCCCAGCTTCCAGTTCCCTGAAGTCCAGTGTCTCCGTGCTAAGTCTCCCAGCAGTCCCTGATTCCCAACCCGTGTGTCTTGCTGGATCTTCCTTCCCCACCTTAATCAGGCTGGCGCAGATCCCACCATAGTTTTTTGATTGTGTTTGTGTGTGAAACAGGTCTGTCAAGTTCAACCAACATCTGACATCCAGTTCAGTTTTGCCTCTCCTCCCAGCTCTGCTGGACCCCAGGTCCAAGGCTCCTACCCTGGGGAGGGGCAGGTCTGGCCGTCCCCTCCTCTCTTCCTCTCCCACACCTGCTGATGCTCCTGGGGCCAGGATGGAGGGGAGGGGGCTTGGAGGAAAAGTGGCCCCACTGGCGTGGCCATTTTTGCTTACATGGACCCTTGGGCTCTGGGTGGCTGATATGCAACACTGGCTCTTCTGCTGGATGCAGGTGTGTGTTCTTCCGAGCATCATGGACCTGGACCTGCACAGTGCCCTGATGACCTGTCCCCTGCTGTCCACCCCACAGCCTCTAACTGCATAGTTCTCCTCGTCTGCCTGGCTGCCCTCTTAGAAGGGGGTGTTACTGGATTCCTGTGGCCACCACCACAAGGTGCATAAACTGGGTGACTCAAAACAACAGAAATGTATTCTTTCATGGTTCTGGAGGCCAGAAGGTCAAAATCAAGGTGTTGGTAGGGCCACGCTCCTTCTGCAACCTCTAGGGGAGCATGCTTCCTTATCCATCTGGCTTCTGGTAGCCCCAGGTGTTTCATGGTTTGTGAAAGCATCACTGCAATCTCTGCCTCTGTCTGCATATGGGCTTCTTCTTTGAGTGTGTATGTGTCTCTCTGTGTCTTCTCTTCTTCTTATAAGGACACTGGCCATTGGATTAGGGTCCACGCTACTCTAGCGTGACCTCGTCTTAACTGATCACATCTGCAAAGACCTGTTTCCAAATAAGGTCACAGTGATAGGTACCAAGGGTTAGAACTTCAATATATCTTTTTGGAGGACACAGTTCAACCCACAACAGGTGCAGACACACCTTGGAAATATTGTGGGTTCACTTTCAGACCCCGCAATAAAGCAAATATTGCAATAAAGTGAGTTATAAAAATCCACTGGTTTTCCAGTGCATATAAAAGTTATGTTTATATTATACTGTGGCCTATTAAGTGTTCAATAGCATTATGTCAAAAATACAATGTACATACTTTAAATTAAAAAAATCTTTATTGCAAAAAAATGCTAACAATCATCTGAGCGTTCAGTGAGTCATCATCTTTTTCCTGGTGGAGGGTTCTGCCTTGGTGTTGGTGGCTGCTGACTGATCAGGGTGGTGGTTCCTGAAGGCTGGGGTGGCTGTGGCAATTTCTTAAAACAAGAAAACAATGAATTTTGCCACATCAATGGACTGTCCTTTCATAATATATTGCCTTGTAGCATGCAATGCTGTTTGGTAGCATTTTACCCAAGGTAGAACTTCTTTCAAAATTGGAGTCAATTCTCTCAAACCCTGCTGCTGCTTTATCAACCAAGTTTATGTCATATTCTAATTTTTTTGTTGTCGTTTCAACAATGTTTACAGCGTCTTTACCAGGAGTATATTCCATCTAAGGAAACAGGCAGGATGTGGTGGCTCATGTCTGTAATCCCAGCCTGGAATCATCCCAGGCCTAGGTGGAAGGATCACTTGAGGCCAGGACTTTGAGACCAGCCTGGGCGACATAGTGAGACCCTGCCTATATATAAAAAAAAAAAAGAAAGAAAAAGAACCAGGCATGGTAGCATTCACTTGTTCTAGCTATTTTGGAGGCTGAGGTGGGAGGATTACTTGAGGAGCTTGAGGCTGCAGTGATTCATGATTACATCACTGCACTCCAGCCTGGGCAACAGAGCAAGACTCTGTCTCAAAAAAGAAAATAAAAAAGAAAGAAGAAACTGTTTTCTTTGCTCATTCATAAGAAGCAACACCTCATCCATTCAAGGTTTTTTTTTGTTTGTTTTGTTTTGAGATGGAGTCTCGCTTTGTTGCCCAGGCTGGAGGGCAGTGGCACAATTTCAGTTCACTGCAACCTCTGCCTCCTGGGTTCAAGTGATCTCCTGTCTCAGCCTCCTGAGTAGCTGGGACTACCGGCACATGTCACCATGCCCTGCTAATTTTTGTATTTTTGTAGAGAAGGGGTTTCACCATGTTGGCTAGGCTGGTCTTGAACTACTGACCTCTGATGATCCGCTCACCTCGGCCTCCCAAAGTTCTGGGATTACAGGCTTGAGCCACTGCGCCTGGCTGCCAGTCATGTTTAGTCATGAGATTGCAGCAACTCAGTCACCTCTTCAGGCTCCCCTTTTAATTCTACTTCTCTTGCTATTCCCACCACATCTGCAGTGAGTTCCTCCATTGAAGTCTTGAACCCTTCAAAATCATTCAGGAGGGTTGGAATCAATTTCTTCCAAACTTCTGTTAATGTTGCTATTTTGACCTCTTCCCATTAATTACAAATGTTCTTAATGGCATCTAGAATGGTGAATCCTTTCAGGAAGGTTTTCAATTTACTTAGCCCAGATCCATCAGAGGAATCACTATCTACGACAGCTAGAGCCTTACAAAATGTATTTCCTAAATAATAAGACTTGAAAGTTGAAATTGCTCCTTGATCCATGGGCTGCAGAATGGATGTTGTATTAGTGGGCATGAAAACAACATTAACTCCTTGCATGTCTCCATCAGAGCTCTTGGGTGATTAGGTGCATTGTCAATGGGCAGTGATATTTTGAAAAGAACAGTTTTTTTCTGAGCAGTAGGTCTCAACAGTGGCCTTAAAATATTCAGTAAACCATTCTGTAAACAGATATACTGTCATCCAGGCTTTGTTGTTTCATTTATAGAGCACAGGTAGAGTAGATATAGCGTTACTCTTAAAGGCTCCAGAATTTTCAGAATGGTAAATGAGCATTGACTTCAACTTAAAATCACCAGCTGCATCAGCTCCTAACAAGAGAGTCAGCCTGTCCTTTGAGGCTTTGAAGCCGGGCATTGACTATGAATGTCTCTAGTTATGAAAGTCCTCGATGGCATCTTCTTCCAACAGAAGGCTGTCTTATTTACTTTGAGAATTTGTTGTTTATGTAGCCACCTTCATCATTGATCTTGGCTAGGTCTTCTGGATAACTTGCTGCAGCTTCTCTTTGCACTTTGATGTTATGAAGATACCTTCTTTCCTTAAACCTCATGAGCCAATCTCTGCTGGGTTCAGACTTTTCTTCTGTAGCTTCCTCAACTCTCAGCCTTCATAGAATTGAAGAGAGTTCGAGCCTTGCTCTGGATTAGACATTGGCTCAAGGGAATGTCGTGGCTGGTTTGATCTTGTATCCAAACCACTAAAATTTCCTCCATATCAGCAATAAGGCTGTTTGCTTTCTTATCATTCATGTGTTTACTGGAGTAGCACTTTTAATTTCCTTCAAGAACTTTTCCTTTGCATTCAAAACTTGGCTAACTGGTGCAAGAGACTCAGTTTTTGGCCCATCTTGGCTTTTGACATGCCTTTCCCACTAAGCTAAACCATTTCTAGAGCTTGACTTAAAGTGAGAGATATGCAACTCTTCCTTTCACTTGAACATTTAGAGGCCATTGTAGTGTTATTAATTGGTCTAACTGCAATGTTATTGTGCCTCGGGAATTGGGAGGCCCAAGGAGAGGGAGATAGATGTGAAATGGTCAGTGAAGCATTCAGAACACACACAGCATTAACCGACTGAGTTCACCGTCTTACACGGGCATGGCTCACGGTGCTTCAAAACAATAACAGTAGTAACATCAGATCACAGATCACTAATCACAGATCACCCTAACAGATATAATAATAGTGAAAAAGTTTGAAATATTGCACAAATTACCAAAATATGACCCAGAGACACGAAGTGAGCACTTGCTTTTGGAAAAATGGTGCTGATAGACTTGCTCCATGCAGGGTTGCTGCAAACCTTCAATTTGTAAGAAATACAATATATGCAAAGCGCAATAAAGCAAGGTGCAATAACATGAGGCATATCTGTATCTTCAAGAGGTCCACAGGCCACTTTCTCTGGAGTTTCCCGTCATCCTTGTCACTATAAGAGGTGGGTGTAGGCTATTCCCACTGCCTGGCCATCTCAGGCTGCTTGGCTAACCGGCCACCTTCAAGCTTCTGGCAATAAGTAGGCACCAGTCTCTAAATCCATGTATGTGCCAAACTTGTGGGGTCCATGGCAAGCTCCAGATAGGAAGGGCCTGTGTGTTTCCACAACCACTCAACAGGTAGCCGGGGTGTGGGGTCCTCTCCCATGCCCCTTCCCCAGGCAGGTGCTGCATCTCTCCCAGTCATTCCCTGGGGGCCCCTCATGTGACTTGAAGTGGTGGGAGGAGAGCCATGGCACCCCTTCTCCAAGCACACCCCTGCCTCAGTGAACCCCCTTCATGCTCAAATAGGCTGGAGGAGATGGTGGTTCCAGGACAGCTGGGCCACTTCACAGCACACCTGGGGCTGGGGGCAGCTCTGTGATGTCACCTTTAGAATGGGGGGTTCTGAGTGCCTCCTTTTCACTCCACTGCTGAGGGAGGGATCCTCTGCCTTAAATATTATGGGATGGCCCAACATATGACAGCCGACATGGGACAGATGAGATCAACAGCAGTTCATTAGTCACATGAACTCACAGCCCCAGGGATGGAGGATGCGCATGTCACACAGGGCCACACGGGCGGGTGCACTTGTAGCAGGGCTGTAGGAGGCAGGCTGTGGAGTGACAAGAGGATGGGGTGGACCCCAGTTCCCATGGGAGGATGTGATTGGCCTTTTTGAATAATTTCACAGGCTGGCAGGTAAGTAAACCTATTAGGTTGACGGCCAGGTGGAGTCCAGCTGGTCTGGGTGACAGGGGAACTAGAGGATGGGGAGCCTCTTCTGTGGGGTGGGGGCACCTCTGGAGAACTCTAACCCCTAACTGCGGGGGAGCTTGCGGTTAGGCCTTTGAAGCTCCATGGTGCTCAGAGATGTCAAGGCAGCCTATGAAATTTTAGGCCTTAAAATACATTGCAGTGCTATGTGCTGGATGTTTTCAGCTTTGGGCTTTAGAAAAAACTGATAGACACTGAAAAAGTCCCATTCAATCATCTATTGCCTTTTTCTCATTCTTTTTAATGAGCTACCATAACAGTGAGAATTCAGGTGTCTGCTCAGGTTTGTGGTCAAATCTAAATCTGTTCAATTACTTCTTGGCTGTATAAATTGTTCCTGCAGTGGCCTGACCTGTCAATCAGGACTTCCTGCTAAGTCACCCACTCATTAATTAACCCTCATCCCTCTCCCTTCCCCTCCCCTCCCTTTTCCTTCTCCTTCCCTCTCTCCCTTTCTCCTTCCTCCTTACCTTCCCTTCTGCTTTCCTCCCTCCTCCTCTCCGTCCCCTGCTTTTAAAAATATAACAGTGGGAGGCTGAGGTGGGAAGATCACCTGAACCTGGGAAGTTAAGGCTGCAGTGAGCTGAGATTGCATCACTGCACTCAAGCCTGGACAGTGGGAGTGAGGCCCTGTCTCAAAAAATGTTGTATCTGTCTGTCTGTCTATCTATCTATCTATCTATCTATCTATCTATCTATCTATCATCTATCTATTTACAGATTTATCGAGTTATAATTTACATACCTTACAATTCATCCATTTAGCCTGTGCAGTTCAATGGTTTCTAATATATTAACAGAGGTTGTGCAACAATCTGAATTTTAGAACATTTTTAACATTCCCCAAAGTAACCCTGTACCCATTGGCAATTACTCCCAATTTCCCCCCAAGTCCCCTCAGCCCTAAGCAATCACGAACCTACAGAAAGTAGTAAAAAGGTGGTACCATTTTACATTCTCACCAGCATGTATGAAGGTTTCAATTTCTCTACTTCTCTACATTCTTTTTTTTTTTTTTTTTTGAGATGGAGTTTCACTCTTATTGCTCTGGCTGGAGTGCAATGGCACGATCTCGGCTCACTGCAACCTCCGCTTCCCGGGTTCAAGCGATTCTCCTGCCTCAGCCTCCTGTGTAGCTGGGATTACAGGCATGCACCACCACGCATAGCTAATTTTGTATTTTTAGTAGAGACGGGATTTCACCATGTTGGTCATGGCTGGTCTTGAACTCCTGACCTCAGTTGATCTGCCCGCCTCGGCCTCCCAAAGTGCTGGGATTACAGGCACGAGCCCCTGCGCATGGCCTAATTTCTCTACATTCTTAACAACACTTGTTATTGTCTTATCTTTTTCATTATAGCCTTCCTAGTAATGGGAAATGGCATTGCTCTGTGGTTTTGGTTTGCATTTCTCTAATGACTGGTCATGTTGAGCATCTTTTCATGTGCTTATTGGCAATTTGTTTATCTTCTTTGGAGAAATGTCTATTCAAATGCTTTGCCCATCTTTAATTGGGTTGTCTTTTTATTATTGAGGTGTGTGTGTGTGTGTGTGTGTGTGTGTGTGTATGGTGGACACTAGACTCTTACCAGGTATATAAATTTATAAATATTTGCTGCCATTCTTGTTGTTGTCCTTTCACTTTCTTGATAATGTCCTTTGAAGTGCAAACATTTTTAATGTTGATGAAGTCAAATGTATCTATTTTTTCTTTAGTTGCTTGTATTTTTGGTGTAATAGTGAAGAAATCATACCCTAATTCTAGGTATTTCAATATTTTTTATTTTTATCTTTTAAGAGACAGGGTCTCACTCTGCTACCCAAGCTGGAGTGCAGTGGCATAATTACAGTCCACTGCAGCCTCGAACTCCTGAATTAAGTTATTCTCCCACCTCAGCTTCCCGAATAGCTGGGACTACAGACATGTGCCTCTATGCCTGGATTTAAAAAATATTTTTTAGAGAGGGGGCTCACTATGTTGCCCAGGCTGGTCTCAAACTCCTGGGCTCAAGTGATCATACTGCCTTGGCCTCCCAAAGTGCTGGGATTACAGGCGTGAGCCACTATGCCCAGCCTACAGTTTATATCTTGATCTTGCATTCTGCAAATAGAGATAGTTTACTTCTTCCTTTCCAATCTGAAAGCCCTTATTTAATTTTCTTCCCTAATTTCCCTGAATAGGACCTCTGGGACAATGTTGAATAGAAGTGATAAAAGTAGATATTTTTATCTTATTTCTGATCTTAGCAGGAAAGCATTCAGTCTTTCCTCATTAAGTATGATCTCAGCTGTGTGTGTGTGTGTGTGTGTGTGTGTGTGTGTGTGTGAATTTTTTTGGTGGATTCCCTTTATCAGGTTGATGAAGGTTTCTTCTATTCCTAGTTTGTTCAGTGTTTTCATCATGACAGGGTATTGAATTTACTTAATGTTTTACTGAATCCATTGAAATGATCATGTGGGTTTTGTCCTTTATTCTACTGATATGATGTATTAAATTAGTTGAACTTTGGATGTTAAACCAACTTTGCATTCCTAGGATAAATCCCAGCTAGTCCGGGTGTGTAATCCTTTTTATATACTGCTGAATTTTGTTTGCTGGTATTTTGTTGAGGATTTTTGTACCTATATTAATAAGATCTCTCTCTCTATATATAACATTTATATCTATTATAAAATATAATACATATATTTTATAGAGACAGGGTCTCACTCTGCCACCCAGGGTGGAGTGCAATGGTGCAATCATAGCTCACTGCAGCTTCAAACTCCTGGCCTCAAGTGATCCTCCTCGGCCTCCCAAAGTGCTGGGATATAGGCATGAGCCACTGTGACTGGCCTCATAAGAGATATTGATGTGTAGTTTTCATTTCTTGTGATGTCTTTGTCTGGTTTTGGTGTAGGATAATACTGGCCCCATAGAATAAGTTGAGAAATACTCTCTTCTCTTTTATTTTTTGGAAGTGTTTGTAAAAGATTGATCTTAATTCTACTTTAGAATTTGGTAGAATTCACCATTTGAAGCCATCTGGATCTGGGCCTTCCTTTGTGGGAAATTTAACATGACTAATTCATTCTCTTTACTTGTTATAGGTCCATTCAGATTTTCTGTTTCTTCTTGAGTCACCTTCAGTAGTTGTGTCTGTTGGGAACAGGCCCCCCAAAATCTGGCCATAAGCTGGCCCCAAAACTGGCCATAAACAAAATGTCTGCAGCACTGTGACATGTTCATGATAGCCATAATGCCCACGCTGGAAGGTTGTGGGTTTACCAGAATGAGGGCAAGGTACACCTGGCCCACCCAGGGCAGAAAACCGCTTAAAGGCATTCTTAAACCACAAACAATAGCATGAGAGATCTGGGCCTTAGGGACATGCTCCTGCTGCAGATAACAAGCCAGACCCATCCCTTCCTTTCCCATAAGGGATACCTTTAGTTAATCCCGTTTCCCATAAGGAATACTTTTAGTTAATCTAATATCTATAGAAACAAAGCTAATGACTGGCTTGCTGTTAATCAATACGTGGGTAAACTCTGTTTGGGGTTCTCAGCTCTGAAGGCTATGAGATCCCTGATTTCCCACTTCATACCTCTATGTTTTTGTGTGTGTGTCTTTAATTCTTCTAGTACCACTGGGTTAGGGTCTCCCCGACCGAGCTGGTCTTGGCAGTGTCTTTCTAGAAATATGTTCATTTCTTCTAAGTTGTCTAATTTGCTGGCATAGAGTATCGTTTTATAATCATTTTTATTTCTGAAAAGTTGGTGCATTAGTTGCTAGGACCTCCATAACAAAGTATCACAGATTGGGTGGCTTAAACAATAGAAATTTATTTTCTGGCCAGGTGCAGTGGTTCACGCCTGTAATCCTAGCACTTTGGGAGGCTGAGGTGGGCAGATCACTTGAGGTCAGGAGTTTGAGACCAGCCTGGCCAACATGGTGAAATCCTGTCTCTACTCAAAAAAAAAAAAACAAAAAAAAACCCAAAAATTAGCTGGGTGTGGTGGCACATGCCTGTAATCCCAGCTACTTGGGAGGCTGAGGCAGGGGAATTGCTTGAACCTGGTGTCAGGCCTCTGAGCCCAAGCTAAGCCATCATATCCCCAGTGACCTGCACGTATACATCCAGATGGCCTGAAGCAAATGAAGATCCACAAAAGTGAAAATAGCCTTAACTGATGACATTCCACCATTGTGATTTGTTTCTGCCCCACCGTAATTGATCAATGTACTTTGTAATCTCCCCCACCCTTAAGAAGGTTCTTTATAATCTCCCCCACCCTTAAGAAGTTTCTTTGTAATTGTCCCCACCCTTGAGAATGTACTTTGTGAGATCCATCCCTGCCCCTAAAACATTGCTCTTAACTCCACCTCCTATCCCAAAACCTATAAGAACCAATGATAATCCCACCACCCTTTGCTGACTGTCTTTTCAGACTCAGCCCGCCTGCACCCAGGTGAAATAAACAGCCTTGTTACTCACACAAAGCCTGTTTGGTGGTCTCTTCACACTGACGCATGAGACACCTGGGAGGCGGAGGTTGGAGTGAGCTGAGATCACGCCACAGCACTCCAACCTGGGTGACAGAGCAAGACTCTGTCTCAACTAAAAAAAAAAGAAAGAAATGTATTTTCTCATGATTCTGGAGTCTAGAAGTCTAAGATTAAGTCCTTGGAAATTAATTTCTTCTCAGGCCTCTCTCCTTGGCTTGTAGATGACCATCTCCTCTCTGTGAACTTCACGCTGTGCATTGTCTATGTCTTAATCTTTTTTTTTTTAATAAGGACACCAATTATTTTGGATTAGGTCCTCCCAAATTACCTCACTTACCTTAATTACCTCTTTCAAGGTCCTGCGTCCAAATACAGTCACATTCTGAAGAACTGGGGGTTAGGACTTCAATATATAAGTTTTGTTTTTATCGGGGGAGACACATTTCATCACATAACAGTAGTAATGTAGTAATGTCCCCTTTTTCATTTCTGATTTTGACAGTTTGAGCCTTTCTCTCTAGCTTTCATCAATCTAGCTAAAGATTTGTCCATTTTGTTGATTTTTTTTCAAAGAACTAACTTTTGGTATTATTGATGCTCTCTATTTTTTTCTGTTCTCTTTATCTCTGTTTTAATCTTTATTATTTCTTTTCTTCTGCTTGCTTTACGCTGAGTTTGCTCTTCTAGTGTTTTAAGGTGGAAGGTTAGTTTAGTGATAGAAAATTTCTTCTTTTTTAACATAGTTATTTATAGATATAAATTTTCTTCTAAGCACTGCTTTAGTTGCATCCTATACTGTGTCTTATATATTGTGTCTTCATTTTCATTCATGTCAAAGATTTTCTAATTTCTCTTGGGATTTCTTCTTTGACCCATTGTTATTTAGGGAATATGTTGTTTAATTTCAACTTATTGTGAATTTCTCAAATTTCTTTTTGTATTGATTTCTTTTATTTCATGTGGTCAGAAAACATATGTTATATGATTTTAACCCTCAGAAATTTATTGAGGCTTCTTTTGTGGCCTAGAAAATGGTTGATCCAACCAGGTGCGGTGGCTCATACCTGTAATCCTGGCACTTTAGGAGGCCAAGGTGGGCGGATCATGAGGTCAGGAGATTGAGACCATCCTGGCCAACATGGTAAAACCCTGTCTCTATTAAAATACAAAAAATTAGCTGGGTGTGGTGGTGCGTGCCTGTAGTCCCAGCTACTTGGGAGGCTGAGGCAGGGGAATCACTTGAACTCAGGAAGCAGAGATTGCAGTGAGCCAAGATCACACTACTGCACTCCAGCCTGGCGACAGAGTGAGACTCCATCTCAAAAAAACCAACCAACAAAAACCAACAAAACCGAAAATGGTTTATCCAGAGAATGTTCCATGTGCACTTGAGAAAAATTTGCTTTCATTGGGTGGGGTATTCTGTGGACATTTGTTAGGTCTAGTTAGCTTATAAACAGTCTTCTGTAGTCTTGTTGATCTCCTTCCTAGTTGTTCTGTTCTTTACTGAAAATAGGGAATTGAAGTCCCTAACTATTATTTTTACATTGTCTATTTCTCTTTTCAATTATTTTAGTTTAGTTTTATGTATTTTAGAGCTCTGTTATTAGGTGCATTTATGTTTATGATTATTATATTTCCCTGATGGATTAACTCCTTTTGTTATTGTAAAATGTTCTTTATCTTGAGTAACATTTTTGTTTTAATGTCTATTTTGTCTAATACTAGTATAGCTACTCCAGCTTTCTTATGGTAACTTTTGTATGATATATCTTTTCCCATCCTTTGCCTTTTGGCCTATTTATAATTTTGAATCTAAGATTCATCTCATATAGACAAAATATAGTTAGATCTTGCTTTTGTGTCCAGTTTGATAATCTCTGCCTTTTGATTAAATTGTTTAATGCCTTAACATTGAACATTGTTATTGATATAGTTGGATTTATATCTGCCATTTTGCTATTTGTTTTCTGTATGTCTTTTGTTTCCTGTATTCCTCCTTTATTGCTTTCTTTTGGATTAAGTGAATATTTTCTAATGTAACACTTTAATTCCATTAATTTTTTTGTCTGTATATTTTTCTTTTTCTTATTTTTTAATTTCAATAGTTTTTGGGGGTACAGGTGGTTTTTGGTTACATGAATACGTTTAGCAGTGATTTCTGAGATTTTAGCACACCCATCACCCGAGCAGTGTACACTACCCAACAGGTAGTCTTTTATCCCTCATCCTCCTCTCAACCTTCTCTCCCAAGTCCCCAAAGTCCATCATATCATTCTTATTCCTTTGAATCCTCATAGCTTAGCTACCACTTATAAGTGAGAACAAATGGCATTTGGTTTTCCATTCCTGAGTTATTTCACTTAGAGTAATGGCCTCCAGCTCCTTCCAGGTTGCTGCAAAAGACATTATTTCATTCATTTTTATGGCTGAGTAGTGTTCCTTGGTGTAGATATACCACATTTTCTTTATCCACTTGTTGGTCGATGCGCACTTAGGATGGTTCCATTTCTCTGCAATTGCAAGTTGTGTTGCTATAATCATGCATGTGCATATGTTTTTTTCATATAGTGACTTTTTTGTTTCCTTTGGGTAGATACCCAGTAGTGGGATTGCTGAATCAAATGGCAGTTCTACTTTTAGTTCTTTAAGGAATCTTCTTACTGTTTTCCATAGTGATTGTACTAATTTATATTCTCACCAGCAGTGTAAAAGTGTTCCTTTATCACCACATCCATGTGAACATCTATTGTGTTTTGACTTTTTAATTATGGCCATTCTTGTAGGAGTAAGGTGGTACCTCACTGTGGCTTTAATTTGCATTTCCCTGATGATTAGTGACATTGAGCATATTTTCATGATTGTTGGCTGTTTGTATATCTTATTTTGAGACATGTCTATTCATGTCCTTTGCCCACTTTTTGATGGGATTATTTAATTTTTCTTACTGATTTGTTTGAGTTCTCGTAGATTCTGAATAGTAGTCCTTTGTCAGATGCACCGTTTGCAAATATTTTCTCCCACTCTCTGGGTTGTCTGTTTACTCTGCTGCTGACTATTATTATTATTATTTTTTGCTGTACAGAAGCTTTTTAGTTTAATTAAGTCCCATTTATTTATTTTTGTTTTTGTTGCATTTGCTTTTGGGGTCTTAGTCATGAATTCTTTGCTTAAGCCAATGTCTAGAAGAGTTTTCCCAATGCTATCTTCTAGAATTTTTATTGTTTCAGGTCTTAGATTTAAGTCTTCGATCCATCTTGAGTTGATTTTTGAATAAGGTGAGAGATGGGGATCCAGTTTTATTCTTCTACATGTAGCTTGCCAGTTTTCCTAGCACCATTTATTGAATAGGGTGTTTCTTTTTTCCCAGTTTATGTTTTTGTATGCTTTGCCAAAGATCAGTTGGCTATAAGTATTTGGCTTTATTTCTGGGTTCTCTATTCTGCTCCATTGGTATACGTGGGTATACCTGCCTATTTTTATACCAGTATCATGCTATTTTGGTAACTATAGCCTTGCAGGATAATTTGATGTTGGGTAATGTAATGCCTCCTGATTTTTTGTTGTTGTTGTTGCTTAGTATTGCTTTGGCAATGTGGGCTCTTTTTTGGTTCCATATAAATTTTAGATTTGTTTTTTCTAGTTCCATGAAGAATGATGATGGAATTTTGATAGGAATTGCACTGAACCTGTAGATTGCTTTGGGCAATACGGTCATTTTCACAATATTGATTCTTTCCATCCATGAGTGTGGGATGTGTTTCCATTTTTTTGTGTCATCTATGATTTCTTTAAGCAGTGTTTTGTAGTTTTCTTTGTAGAAATCTTTCACTTTCTTGGGTAAGTACATTCCTAAGTATTTTATTTTTACAGCTGTTATAAAAGGGATTGAGTTCTTGATTTGATTTTCAGCTTGGTTGTTGCTGCTGTATAGCAGTGCTACTGATTTGTGTACATTGATTTTGTAATTTGAGACTTCACTGAATTTGTTTATCAGATCTAGGAGGTTTTTGGATGAGTCTTTAGGGTTTTCTAGGTACATGATCATATCATTGGTGAACAGCGACAATTTGACTTCCTATTTTCCAATTTGGATCCCCTTTATTTTTTCTCTTGTCTGATTGCTCTGGCGAGGACTTTTAGTACTATGTTAAATAGAAGTGGTGAAAGTGGGCATACTTGTCTTATTCCATTTATCGGGGGAATGCTTTCAACTTTTCCCCATTCAGTATGGTGTTGACTGTGGGTTTGTCATATACGGCTTTTATTACTTTGAGGTAAGTCCCTTTTATGCCTATTTTGTTAATGGTTTTTATCATAAAGCAATGCCGGATTTTATAAAATTATTTTCTGCATCTATTGAGATGATCAGATGATTTTTGTTTTTAATTCTGTTTATGTGAGAGATCACATTTATTGACTTGAGTATGCTAAACATTCCCTGCATCCTTGGGATGAAACCCATTTGATCATGGTGGATTATCTTTTTGATATGCTGTTGGATTTGGTTAGCTAGTATTTTTGTTGAGGATTTTTGCCTCTATGTTCATCAGGGATATTGGTCTGTAGTTTTCTTTTTTTGTTATGTCCTTTCCTGGTTTTGGTATTCGGGTGATACTGGCTTCATAGAATGATTTAGGGAGGATTCCCTCTTTCTGTATCTTTTGAAAAGTTTCTGTAGGATTGGTACTGATTCTTCTTTGAATGTCTGATAGAATTCAGCTGTGAATCCATCTAGTCCTGAACTTTTGTTGTTGTTGGAAATTTTTTTTATTACTGTTGAAATCTCACTACTTGTTATTGGTCCGATCAGGGTTTATATTTCTTCCTGATTTATTCTAGGAGAGTTGTATGTTCCCAGGAATTTATCTATTTCCTCTAGATTCTCTAGTTTGTGTGTGTAAAGCTATTCATAGTAGCCTTGAATGATTTTTGTATTTCTGTGGTATTGGTTGTAATATCTCCAGTTTCATTTCTAATTGAGCTTATTTGGATAGTCTCTCTTCTTTTCTTGGTTAATCTCATTTATCTGTATTTTTTTTTTTAGTTATTTTCTTAGTGGTTGCTCTAGGCCTTACCATACACATTTTAACTTATCAGAATCTGCTTCAGATTATACTAACTTAATTCCAACGAGTTATAGAAATGCTGCTTTTGTATAGCTCTATATTCTGTTCTCCTTTTGTGTCATTATTGTTATACATATTATATCTATATATGTTGCAAACCCAAAATAACATAGTTATAACTATTACTTTATGGAATTCTGTACCTTTTAAAGAAGCTGAGAGAAGAAAGGAAAGCAAGTATGTATTTATAGATTTTGTTATATTAACCTTCTTATTTATCATTTTTGGCTCTTTTTATTGTACCTGTGGATTCAAGTTACCATCAGCTGATATTTCCTTATTCCAGTGCAGCTTTGCTCCCACCTACTGGTTTTGTGCTATTATTGTAAAATAAATACATTTCTATATGTGTAGACCCAACAATACAATTTTAAACACATACACACACACACACACACACACACACACACAGAGCCCACAATTGCTTTTAAAATTAGTTAAGTAAAGAAAGAAGAAGAAATATGCATTTACACTATTGTTTTTATAATTACAAAATTATCTACATTGGTGCTCTTTAAATTTTGTTTGTGGGTTTAAGTTACTGTCTAGGCCATTTGCTTTCAGCCTAAAGAATTTATTTTGCTATTTTTTGTGAGGTGGCATGCCAGCAAGGAATTCTCTTAGTTTTTGTTTATCTAAGAATGGTTTTATTTTACTTTCATTTTTAAAAAAACAATATTGCTGGATATAAGATTCTTGCTTGACAGTTTTTTTTCTTTCAGCACTTTAAATATGTTATCTCAGTGCCTCTGGCCTCCATTATTTCTGATGAAAAGTCAATTGTTAATCTCATTGGGGTTCCCTTGTATGTGACTAGTATTTTTCTCTCGGTGATTTCAATATTTTCTTTATGTCTTTGGCTTTCAACATTTTTAAGATGATGTGTCTGGGTTAAATCTGTTTTTGTTTCTCCTAATTGAAGCTTGTTGAGCTTCTTGAACATGTGGATTAATGTTTTCCATCATATTTGGGAAGTTTTCAGGCATTATTTCTTAGATTTTTTTTTCTGTTTTCTTCTCTCTCTTCCTCCTTCAGTTACTCCCATTTTGCATATTTGGTACACTTAATAATGTCACACATTTCTCTGAGGCTCTGTTCATTTTTCTTTCTGCTTTTTTTCTCTCTGCTTTTCAAATTGCATAATCTTTATTGATCTGTATTCAAGTTTGCTGATTTTTTCTTCTTCCAGTTCAAATCCACTACTCAGCTCCTCTAGCAAATTCTTCATTTTAGTTATTATATTTCTCAACTCCAGAATTTCCATTTGGTTCTTTTAAAAAATACTTTCTGTTTTTATATTAATATTCTCTATTTGAGTGGACATTGTCATAACCTTATTCACTTCTTTAAGCATAGTTTCCTTTAGTACTTTGACCATATTTATAACAGCTGCTTTGATGTCTCTGTTAATTCCCCCATCTGGGCCCTCTCACAGAGTTTTTGTTGCCGGGTTTTTTTATTCTGTGGGTTATACTTTTCTGTTTCTTTGCATGTCTCATAATGCTTTGTTGTTAAAAGCTGATCATTTTAGATAACATATTTTAGATAATATATTGGAGCAACTCTGGATACTGATGCTGCCCTCCCCTCCACGTACTCCTTACTCCTGGCCAAGGCTTCTTGTTGTTTTTGGCTTATTTGTTTAGTGACTTTGCTTGACTATTTTGTGAAGTGTATTTCCCCATAATGTGAAGCCTCTGATTTCACTCCTCAGAGGGCACAGCCTTAGGTACATGTACAGTCAGTCATCTGGGGTGACAGAAGTTTTAACCGGCCTCTCTTTAATTTTCTCATTTCCTGATCTCTTTGCTAAGCCATCAGTCTCTGTTGGCATCACACCCAGCTGTCAGGGTACACTAATTACTGGCTGATTTTCTATTGTTTTTCTACAATGCCTGGAGTATGCAATGCTTCACAGTATGATCCAGATAAATTTGGGTCCCTTTGTAGGATTGTTTTGAGTCCAGTCTTTGGGGTTTGTTCAGACAGTGGAAGGACTCTTCTTAGCTATTTGTTTTGTTTTCTCTGGTAAACTGGCTGGCATATAGTTTATCCCATTATCTTTATTGTTTACCACCAAAATCTCCATTGTTTTTGCGAGTTCCCTTATGCTTGAACTTCTCTACATCCTGTTTTAAATCAAGTTAGTTTCTTGGGGGGTCGGGGGAGAGCTTCAGTGCTCTCTGTTCTTATGATCTACCTCTTCCTTTGGGCAAAATCTTTGAGTCACTGCTCAAGACCTGG
Organism: Homo sapiens; assembly: GCF_000001405.40. Lineage (NCBI taxonomy): Eukaryota > Metazoa > Chordata > Mammalia > Primates > Hominidae > Homo > Homo sapiens. Next base: position 150,879,901 of record NC_000007.14, on the reverse strand, counting down.
GGGTAGGGGCTGTGGCTGGCTTCTCTCAGAGCCCTCCTGCTTTACAGAGCAGGGCTCTGCGTGGTGGCAGTAGCCTCTTGTCTTCTCAGGTTGCTGTTGTAGCATGGAACCTCTGATCCAAACGCAATTGGGGCTTCAGTAATTTCAGCCTGCATCACCTGGGGTAGTCTCCACCTATGAGTGGGGACTGGGTGGAGGAGAGAAGCTTCCATTCTCTCAGCTGCACTCATCTACAATTTAGCCTGTGCAAAATGGGGGCTGAGGAATTCTGGTGGCCTGCCTCTTCTGGGGAGCCATTGTATTGCTTGACTGGGAGCTGGATGGAGAGGGAGCTGTGTTTTCCTGGCTAAGTCCATGAAGAGTGGAGCTTCTGTTAAGTGAGTTGGGGGGATGGAGGAGAGAGGAAGTGAGTCATGGCTCAAGTGTCATAGATTCTCATTGTTCTTATTGGGAACAATTTCCAGAGACTTTAAATGCTTAAAAATCATTTAACTAGATATAAGTGTTTTGCTGGGGAGCAGGTCTGCAGAGCTCCTCATACAATCATTCTGGAAGTGGTCTCTGCTTTTTTCTCTTCCTTCTTTTTTCTTTCTTCCCTTTCTTTTTCTTTCTGTGTGTAGTTTCTGTTTTGTTTTGTTAACCTATGGATCAACAGCAGAAGATGTCAGATGTAAGAAATGATGGTAGGACGTGGGATGCTATTAGTAGGTATATCAGCTAATGTTGAAGACACTACTCTTAAATCAAGGAAAATATGATCAGAATAATAAATTTTTAAAGTATAGTGAACAAATTCTTCAGTAAGGCTGAAGGTTAAAAGTAAAAAGTTTCAAAGCAATACTTTTCTTGGCTCTTCTTTATAATAATTTATTGTCTAGTGAGCTACTAACCCTTTTTCTTTATGACTTGATTGCCCCCGTATGCTAAAATACTTGCTGTTTTACTTTTCCTTTCATTGACATTTACAATCCTTTGTCTTTTAGTAGTTTCACAAGCTTTGAAACAATGTTTAGATAATTTTAAAAAATAAAAATAAAACAATGCTAAGGGTACAATCATTGATGTTTTAAATATATCAGCTGCTATAAGGCACTTTGTCCAATTTTCATAATAATTTTGTCTTAATGGTGTTAAGAGCAAAGATTTAAGATTTACTTTCTTAGTGCCATAAAAATAAGAGCTATTCAGCTGGGTTTCTGAAATATTAAGTGCAATGCAAAAGTTTGTTTGCCTAATATCCCTGGACACCAGGCTTCCCAAAATATCCTGCCCCAGACCATAGCCACATCTTCCCACTAGATTCCTGGGCAACTAGAAACAATGGTAAAGGAAAACAAGGTCACACAATTTTTTTTGAGATGGAGTCTTGCTCTGTCACCCAGGCTGGACTGCAGTGGCGCGATGTCGGCTCACTGCAAGCTCAGCCTCCCTGATTCACACCATTCTCCTGCCTCAGCCTCATGAGTTGCTGGGACTACAGGCGCCCGCCACCACGCCCAGCTAATTTTCTTTTCTATTTTTCGTGGAGATGGGGTTTCACCATGTTAGCCAGGATGGTCTTGATCTCCGACCTCGTGATCCACCCGCCTCGGCCTCCCAAAGTGCTGGGATAACAGGCGTGAGACACTGTGCTCGGCTAAGGTCACACTAATTGTTAGCTGGGAGTGGACCCCAAACCTGTTGAAAGAACCCATCAGCTTTCCTTTAAGAAGGTAATGCCACAGACCACAACAGATAATTGAGGGTTATTCTGTGAGCTTCCACTAAAGCTAAAACATGTGTGGAAGGGACAGAAGAGAGGATAACAGGTTTGCTGGCCTGTTTACCACTTGGGGACGTTTGGATGGATGATGAAGAAGAAAAAGAATCAAAAGGACTGGGGCTCATCACAGGTGGGAATAGTATAATATTAGCTCTTCATTCAGAACCATGGTAGCAAAAAGAGAGAAAACTGCATCTGTGGACTGAATTATTCCCCTCAGCCCTCTACCCCAGTGTGTCTTCTTTTTGGGAATAGAGTAGAAAGCCAGGAAAATGGTGGGGATCTAGGAGGAAGCAGGCATCTCCTCTGACTTGCACGTCCCCCTGTTTCACTGTCCTTTGTTAACTCACTGTGTTTGACAGCCACATCTGTGGTCAGCCAGGGGTGCAGCTGCTCCTACTGGTAGCTAATGGCCATAGAACACCAGGGGCGTCTTAAAGCCCCTTCTGTGATCCGCACCACTGCTCCTGGGTATACTCCCAGGGTCTGTTATATGGGTAACATGCACCTCGCAGCAAGATCTCCTGAAATGGGTTAGGACAGGAATATTAGGTAATTGCAAACCCATACTTCCCACCATTCTTGTCTTCAATTATGGCCAATTACATAGTTACGGCAGCCTTGTATTGTTACAATACAATCTTCCTCTATGCTTAGGAACCTCTATGGAGATGGTTGTGTTACTTCAACCAAAGACAAGAAGAGACTAATCTGCAGAATTAGAACAATTCCCTAGTTCTTCAACAAATCAGTGCTGCTTTTCTTGCCAATAATAGACGTGTTTGTATTTCTCCGTGGAAACCCTTGGGGTAAACATGTTGCTTGTTCTTCCAATAAAGAATTGAACCACCAGAGGGCCTCAGGCGACTCAGGAGGTTTGGGAAGAGACAAAGGCACATGCTTAGAGGGTCTGGAGAAGGCGAGGAAGAAGGAAGGGAGCCAAGTAAAACATGTGACTGACCAGGGGCTTTGGAGAAGACAAGCCCTGCAGGAAGGCACGCATGTGGTCATTCTGTCTGTAGCCTCCCATTCCTCCCTGCTTTCCCCAGCTGCATCTACCTGGATCCTGAATTTGAACCAAGTGGTCCAAACGGCCCGGTCACCTGAGCAACCCCTCTGCAGGAACCGCAGGTGTGGGCGGGGTGGTGGGGAGGAGGCGGGGGGGTGGGGGAAAGGCGGGGGGTGGGGGGAGCTCAGCGGCGCCATCTAGCGTCCAGACAGCGGTGGCTCTGGGAAAGCTGATTGTTTTCTTAGCCAGAGGAGGAAGAGAAGGTTGGTCCTCAGCGCCTGGACGCCTGGTAGACGATAGGGGATGACATGATGAGTAAAATAAGGACAGGAACACGCCGAATCCCCTTTCATAATGATAGGACCACGCCAAATCCCCTTTCTTTTTAAAATTTGACATATACCCTTGAATATATATGTATTCTTATAAAATATGGTTATCTGGTATGTATTTATGTATATTGATATAAAGCTGCAGATTTAAAAATAGTACTTCTTTCATCTCTCTCCATCTACATAGTCTTCGTGGTTTTCAGTAAAATGATAATTTCTGGATTACTTAGATGTAGTTATTATGATCCAACCCTTGAATAAGGGGAGTTGAGAGTTGGTGAAACATCCCTGTCTCAATATTTGTTCATGCCATATTTCCTTTGAAAGAATTTACAGATAAAGGCATCAAATACCTGAAAAAGTAACAAGTTTACTATATTTTACTTGAGAATTTGTATATATATTTTTAAGAAAGCTTTTTAGTTTTGGCGTAATTATAAACTCACAAGAGGTAGCAAAAAGAGTACGGAGTTCTGTGAACCTTCAACTGGATTTCTCTAATGGTGACATCTTGCAATGGACTGAGTATGTCTCCCTCAAATTCATGTGTTGAAATCTTAATCTCCATAGTGGTAGCATTAGGAGATGGGGCCTTTGGAAGGTGATTAGGTCACAAGGGCAGTGCCCTCACAAATGAGATTAATGCCCTTATAAAAAAAAAAAAAGACCGCAGAAAACTCTCTTGTCCCTTCCACCATGTGAGGACGCAGTGGGAAGATGGCCAGTCCATGCACCAGGAAGCAGGCCCTCCCCAGACACTGAAGCTGCCAGGGCCTTGATCTTGGACTTCCAGCCTCCAGAACTGTGAGAAATTAACTTATGTTGTTTATAGGCCACCTAGCTACGTGTTTGGTTATAACACCCTCAATGGACTAAGACACAGATAACTGGAGTACAATGTCAAAACCAGAAAATCCACATAGGTACACACTACTATTAACTAGGCTACAGAAGTTATTCGGTGTTCACTGCTTTTAAACCTGCATTCATCTCTCTCTCTCTCTGTCTCTCTCTCTGTCTCTCTCTGTGTGTGTGGTTTTGTGTGTGCATACAGTTCTATGCAAGTTTATGTCAGGTGTTTTTGTCAGGTGTGGATTTGTGTAAGCAGCGCCTCAGTCAAGATGCAGAACTGCTCCAACACCACAAAAGAACTCCCTCTTGCTACCTCTTTTTATTAACATCCATGCCACCACCCCAATCCATCCCCATCCCCTGGAAATCCCTAACCTTTTCTCCATCTCTGTTGTTTTCTTATTTTGGGAATGCTATCCGAGTGAAATCATACTGCATGTGACATTTGGAGTTTGGCTTTCTCCGCCACTAAGCATATGCTTAGCGATGTCTGTGCTGGTTGTTGCATATATCAATCGTTCATTCCTTTTCATGACTGAATAGTATTTTATTGTGACAGAGTTCGTTAAACCATTTATCCACTGAGAGACATCTGGGCTGTTTCCTATGCTGTTATAAGTAAAGCTACTATGAACATTAGCGTACAGGCTTTTGTTTGAATGTAAGTTTTCATCCCTCTGGGATAAGTGCCCAGAAATGTCATTGCAGGGTAATACGGTAAGTGAGTGTTTAGTTTTATAAGCTAACAAAGTATGTTTTCATTTACATCAGCAATGTGTAAGAGATTCAGTTTCTCTGCAACCTCTCCAGCATTTGGTATTATCACCATTTTTAAATTTAACTTTCCTAATTTGTGTGTAGAGACATCTCAATGTGGCTTTAATTTGGATTTCCCCAATGGCTGTTTGTGTGTGTGTGCGTGTGCGTGTGTGTGTGAGAGTGTGTGTGCATGTGTGTGTGTGCGTGTGTGTGTGTGCACGTGTGTGCGTGCGTGCTTGTGTGTGTGCATGTGTGTGTGGGGTCAGCTGATGGCTCAAGCTGTTAGATTCTTCAGGGTCTATCTTAGCTTTTGAGTGAGGCTCTGCTCTTCTCTGGGTGGTCCCCAGTCAATGACTGAGCCGAGTGGCAGTTCAAAGTCTGGACCATCTCTACCCCCTACAGGATTCCTTCCTCAGGCCATCTTAGTTCTGGCCTCTTTTCCTTTTCTTTCCCAGGTGTTAGCTCCACAATAAATCTAACTCCATTTCAGCATCTCAGTGTCTGCTTCCTTGAGAACCCAACAAGTACAGCATGTTTCTTGGTACTTCATGGTGTACATTCAGTCCATTTGACTCATCCATTCCTCCAAGGATGGATACTGAATTTGCCTCCAACTCCCACTGCCATGACAAATGCTATGACGAACATCCTTGTTCTCATCCCTTCATAGTCCTGGGGGAGAATTTCTTTCAATTAGGTATAATTTGTAGTGGGCTTTCTGAGTCATAGGATGTATGTATGTTCAATTTCACCAAGTACATGCAGGCTATGTTACAGAGAGGCTTCATCAGTCCACATTTCCAAAGGCACAAAACCCACCTTAGACCCATGTTTGTGTTTCTGAAAGCCCTGCTTATATTTGGCACTAGATAATTTTCTAATTTTGATAATCTCTTGATATATTTGTTATTAATTTGTTTTTTCTATGAATTACTTGCTTCTATACTTTGCCATTTATAGAATGGGTTTCTGACTTTTACTTACAGATTTGCAGAAGTTTCCTATATATTCTAATTATGAATTCTTTGTCAGTTTGAGATGTTGAAAGTATCTTCTCCCTCTCAACTTTGACTATGGATTCCTTTGTTGAATAGAAACCTGTAATATTAATGAAATCAAATCTACATATTTTTTTACCTTGTGGTTTATGATTTTTAGGTCTTGTTTAAGAAAATTTCCACCTTTAGGTCACAAATATTTTCCTACATTTTTAGTTTCACTGTTTATGTATAGATTCTTACTCTTGCTGAAGTTCATTGTATATTATATCAGGTAAGGATGCAGTTTTATTTTTCTCCATATTATGGGAGCTTTTCCCCACTATAACCTACTAAACAGTCAGTTTTTTCCTGTTTCTTCGTAATTCCCTTATATTCATGAGTCTCTGAGCTCTTTTTGGTTCTGTTGGTCTGTTGGTCTACTCTTGAGCCAATACCATGATTAAAAAAATTTCCATGGCTTTATAGTGTAACTTAATATTTGATGGGACCAGTCTCACTTCTTTGTCCTTCTTTCTGAAAAATGATTTCACCATTTGTGAACCCATTTTTCATATGTTTTAGAATAAATTCATTAACCCCTAAAAAATTCTGGTTGGGATTTTGATTGGGATTGGAATTATAAAAAACATTTGAGGAGGATGGATATCTTTACAATGTTAAGCCATACTATCAAAGAGCACGGTTTTTTTATTTATTTATTCATATATTTCATTACATTATGGTCTCAGAACATGGTCTGTATGCTTTCAATTCTTTAGAATTTGAGACTTCTTTTAAAATCATTATTTGGTCAGTTTATGTGAATGTTATATGTACACAATATACACATGCATTCTTTGGTTTGTGGAGGGTTATATACAAATATGAGTTTATTAAATGTCTTATTTAGATAATCTATGTCTTTGCTTTTTTTGTCTACTTGATCTATCAGTTCTGAGATTTATGTACTAAAATCAGCAATGTTGTTGGTTTTCTTCTTCTTGCTTGAGATTATGTTGTTAGATGCATATATGTTATGCATGTTGTATCTTCTTTGTCTATTGTTTCTTTCATCAAGATATACTATACCTCTTTCAAGCTGATACAGAAGTAGAGAGAAGGATATAATGAACCCTCTCAAATCCATCATCCAGCTTCAACTACTCATGGCTACTCTTATTTTATCCATACTACACAAACTCTTCCACACCCCTTCTACTGGATTATTTTGAGGTAATGGCAAACATAATATCATTTAAAAAGTAAATACACTAGCATCTATCTATAAAAGATAAGGAATTCTTTTTAAGCATAATCATAATACCCTATCAAACCTAAAGAATTAACAATAATTTCTTAATACCATCAAATATCCAGTGTTCTAATTTTCCAATTGTCTTATAAATATTTCTATTCTCTTTACTTAAATTAGGATCCTAATGAGATTCATACCTTAGAATTAGCTGATATGCTTCTTGAGTTTCTTTTCATCTATAGATATAACATATCTCTATCTCTTTTGATATTTCCTGGCTATGAATTCTATTTTGTTATATATTAGGATGGCTACATTTTTGTAATTAAATTTTTTAAAGATTACAAAAACAATATATGAGTAAATGTTCATAAAACATTAAAACACATATGGAAGTGTGTTTTTTGTTTATATAAATAGAATTCTACAATGTTTATTATTCTGTGACTTGCCTTTATCACTTAACAGCAAATACTGAAACATATCCTTTTTAAAATATCACAGCTTTATTGATATACAATTCACATACTATACAATTTATAGATTTATTAAATCTATTGTCACAACCAATTTTAGAATGTTTTCATTACCTCTAAAAGAAACTCTATATCCAATTCTCCCCAATCCTCCCAGACCATGGCAACCACTAATCTACTTTCTGCCTCTATGGATTTGTATATTATGAACACTTCAAATAAGTAGAATCATATACTACATGGTCTTTTGCATTTGTCTTCTTTCATTTAGCTAATGTTTTCAAGGTACATCCATGTTGTAGCATGTATCAATATTTCATTTTTCCTTATTGCAGAATGATATTCCATTGTATGGATATATGACATTTTGTTTATTTAATCATCAGTTATTGGATATTTGTTTTGTTTCAACTTTTTGACTATTATAAATAATGCTGCTATAAACATTCATGTACAACTTTTTGTATGGACACATTTTCATATTTCTTGGACACATACCTGGGGTGAAATTTCTGTATTCTATAGTAGTCTGTCTAACCTTTTGAAGAACTGCCAGACTGTTTTCCAAAGTAGCTGCACTATTTTATATTCCCACCAGCAATGTATGAAGTTTATAATTTCACCACATCCTCACCAACACTTGTTGTTATCTGTCTTTCTGATTACAGCCATCCTGGTGGGGATGAAGTGGTATCCCATTGTGGTTTTGATTTGCATTTCCCTTATGACTAATGATGTTGAGCAACTTTTCATGTGATATTGGTTACTATGTATCTTCCTTGGAGAAATGTCTGTTCAGATCCTTTGCCCATTTTTAAATTGGGTTACCCATATCAGATATATGATTTGCAAGTATTTTCTCCCATTCTGTGGGTTGTCTTTTCATTTTCTTAATGATATCCTTTGAAGCACAAAGGTTTCTACATTTTGATGAAGTTTATTTTATCATTTTTTTCTTTTGTTGCTTGGGCATTTGATGTTATATCTCAGAAATCATTGCCTAAAATTGGCAAGGTCGTGAAGATTTATGCTTACATTTTATTCTAAGAGTTTTAGCTGTTACATTTAGGTCTTTGATTCATTTTGAGATAATTTTTATATATGATAAATACTAGGGTTCCGGTTTCATTCTTTTACATGTGTATATCCAGTTGTCCCAGCACTGTTTGTTGAAAGTCTATTTTGCTATTGAATTGTTTTGGTAATCTCATCAAAAGTCAACTCTATATGTGAGGTTTTATTTAATTAATGTATTTATTCTGAGACAGGGTCTCACTCTGTCACCCAGGCTGCAGTGCAGTGGTGTGATCATGGCTCCACTGCAGCCTTGAACTTCTGGGCTCAAGCCATTCTCTGCCTCAGCCTCCCAAGCAGTTGAGACTATAGGTGTGCACAACCATGCCTGGCTAATTAAAAAAAACCTTTTTATTTTTTTTTTTGAAGCGACAAGTTCTCTTTATTTTGATCAGGTTGATCTCAAACTCCTGGGCTAAGCGATCTTCCTGCTTCAGCTTCCTAAAGTGTTGGGAGGCCAAGTTGGGAGGCCAGGTTCCTAGGAGAATGGGCCCTGCAGCACACACAAGTGCATGATCATTCTGCCAGTCCCTGCCTTTCTAGGCCTGGGAAGCTGGGGACTGGAATGCTGTTGCCACTCCTTGACCTCGCCTGCAAACACAGCAGCATCAAGGGCAGAAAGGCAGTTTCAGTATCCCTTTCATCTTCCAGATCTTGCTCAAATGCTCCTGATTGGTAGAAACTAATTCTATACAGAGCTTTAGATATAAAACAATCTGGGAAATGGAGAGTTTAACTTTCTAGTTGCTGCAGAACAGGAAGATACATTAGGAGGGAAATATAATAGAGGTTAAGGAAGTGTCCATCATATTTCCCATGAGTCCAGTGACTTGGGAAATGGCTGTTCTCAGTCCTGGTGAGACTGTCTAGAATTCTGTGTCCATTTCTTTCCCTGAAATGTAGAGATATAGAAAAGATTTGTATTGTGAGCTAAATTGTGACCCCCTCAAAAGATATATTTGAGTCCTAATCCCCAGTTCCCATGAACGTAACCTTATTTGGAATTAGAGTCTTGCAGATGTAATTGAGTTAAAATGAGGTCCTACTGGAGTAGGGTGGGCCCTAAACCCAATGACTAGTGTCCTTATAAAAGGAGAAATGCAAAGACACAGAGACACCCAGGCAAGCCAGCCATGTGAAGAGGGAGACAGAGATCTGAGTGATTCCTGAGCTATCCTTTAAACCATCACCTGTATCTGTATTGCCTCTCAATGTACAGCCAGGCCAGCAGCTACAGGGAACTCAGAATATTCAGGCTGTGCTCTCAGTTCCCCCCTACCTCCTACTTATTTCCATACTTCCTTTCTTGGGGACAAGTTTCCATCTCAGCAGGGGCTCAGTGAAGGCTGTGGTGATATTGGGATGCTGGGTTAGGATCATGGCTGGGGCAAAGACCTTTTTTTGATACAAGGTCTCACTCTGTTGCTCAGGCTGGAGTGCAGTAGTACAATCACGGCTCACTGTAACCTCTGCCTCCCGGGCTCAAGCAATCCTCCCACCTCAGCCTCCCAAGTAGCTGGGACTACATGCATGCACCACCAACGCAGCTAATTTTTGTATTTTTTGTAGAGACTGGGTCTTGTCATGTTGCCTAGGCTGGTCTCAAACTCCTGGGCTCAAGCTATCTGCATGCCTGAGCCTCCTGAAGTTCTGGGATTACAGGCATGAGCCACTGCACCTGGCCTTGGGGCAAATACTTTGAAACCCAACTAGAAAACCTAGTCCAGATCCTGCGTGGGCAGCAGCAAGTCAATAGAACACAGGTCATTCACAGTGACACAGAGAGAGGGGACAAATTCCAGCCTTTCCTGGATCTTTAGGATGTCCCTTACTGTCTGTAACTTTTCTGAGCTCAAGTGCACAAGCTCTATGATTGGTCTTAGAGCTTAAACACCTGTTACAACACTACTGTTAAATGTCACCATCAAACTCAGCTATTGACATCCTAAACTATTGCTCTGGGCTCAGAGAAGGGACAAGAAACAAGTTTTTTTGTACACGTTAAGAGTATAGCCAGGCATGATAGCAAGTGCCTGTAATCCCAGCTATTCGGGAGACTGAGGTAGGAGAATCGCTTGAACCCGGCAGGCGGAGGTTGCAGTGAGCCAAGATCGCATCATTGCACTCCAGCCTGGGCAATGAGAGTGAGACTCTGTCTAAAAAAAAACCAAAAAAAAAAAAAAAAAAAAAAAAGTGGTGTTTTCAAACCTGGCTCCTCTCTCAGAATGATCTTTAGAGCTTCCCAAAAACACAGTATTCAGGACCACCCTTGGATATTCTGATATGACTGGTGTGGCACGAAGCAGCACAACACTGGGATCCTTAAGAAGCCTCTCTAGGTGACTCTGGTGCACAGCCAGGGTTGACACTGCTGGGATAGAGAAGGGCAGCAAAGAAAACATAGAAATGGATGCTGAGAAATAAGCATCACAAATCAACAGAGGGCAACGGGGTGAGAACTAGGGGCAGTAGGAACACAGGAACAAGAGTGGACAAGTGCTCTTGGGGATGGACAGGGAAGGCTCATTCCACCGAAGCTGGTGGGAAGCACAGGGGCTTTTGAATGTTGTGGCCTGGGGCTTTTCCTCCTAGTTGTGAAGGAGCCCTGTTGCAGTGTGGTTGGAAGGTTGTGTGGTTTTTGACAATTTCCCCCTTCCCAACAGGGTCGGGCCACAGGGAGAGGAGCGAGGCCTTGATGTCACAGATCTGCTTTGAGGCCCAGCCTTTGGATGTGCACTGCTGCCAGTTCTTGATTATTAAATCCCATTGTGGTGGAAGCATTGTCTGGTAATATCCAGAAACTCCTCTTTCATTAGAACTGGGAATAAGCAGGGTGGCCATGGGTGAATTTCAGCCTCTGATTTGTGGGTGGGAGCTGAGGGGCCACTGAGAGGCTGAGCAAATCTTCGGGGTGCATGGTCACTGTCACTAGAAAGCAACAAGGTCTATGACCAGGGTGACTGGAAAGGAGGTAGATTAAATAATCCCCTGAGGTTTTGGAGCAGTGTGCAAGGAATTGGATTTAGGGTAGCTTCCAGTCTCTTTTTTGGGGTCCTGTTTCTTGGATTGTCACCTGCAAGTGGCCTTATCCAGCTGGACCACAGTTGGGTGGTCAGTCTGTGCTGCATGTGGTTCTTCTAGGACAGCAGACACTTCAGGAACCACAGAATATGGGGCACTTGATGTCCCTGGGATAGCTCGGTGCCTCTGTGCAGACCGCTGTCCAGAATGTCCTTCTCCCTTCAGTTGATGTTAAAGCTCAAACTCTACTTCCTTTTTAAAGTTTTCTGTGACTTTCCTTGAATGAATTAGGAGGGACTTTCTCCATTATTCTTGAGTTATTCTTTACGTGACTTTTTCTTACAGAAAAACAAGCTTCTAGAAACCAGAGACTATGTCTTTCATCTTCGTATCCCCAAAACCTACAGCAGGATCTAATCCATAGCCATTTAGTTAAGTGTTCGTTGAATGAATGAAAGAGTTGAGTCATCACAGACATGTAAGTTGTGAATGCGTGTTCACACATTCTAATGAGTGAGGCTATGACACTGTGAAAGAAGACTCTGCTGCAGGGCTGAGTAGTCCTGATGCATCGCTGGAGGTCATATTTGATAATAAGGCTGGTGCCTTTCTGAAATGACAAGAACAGGACATACATATACCACTCTCTCCTCCCACACCACAGCAGAGGTTTCGAATTCACTATGGCGTTGTTATTTACTGAGCCTGGTTGTGAATTCGGAATCTTTTGTGACACAGCCACTACAGGCAGCTTAATGATCAAAACTAGGATGAGAGAGGAAAGCTGTTTTCCATCAAGAGCATGTTCTGTTTTGCTGGCAAATATGGATATTGTGGTGAAAGGAGAACATTTTTACCTTGACAGCAGAATATAAGGAGTTTCTAAAGTGGAAGGTAAACTGGAGACACTGCTCCAAGGTGTAGAAAACTTCGGAGGCTGGAACCAAAGACTTTTGAAACATGATTGCAGCTTCAGCAGAGGTAGAGCTGCCTTTACTATAAAGGAAATGAGTCATGGAGTGGCAGTTCTGAACCATGGCCCCTCTCACTTTTTTGCTGGTCCTCCCATTGAGATGTGGGGTCTATGTCTTCTTCCTTTCCATTTGGGTGCAATGGTGACCACTGACCAATAGAGTATGGCAGAAATAGTCATGGGATTTCTGAAGTTAGGTCATAAAAGGCATGCGGCTTCCTTCTTGTGTGTGAGAACACCCATCTTGAAGCCCTGAGCCTCCATGCAAGAGTCTGATTACTTGAGACCACTATGCTGTGAGGAAGCCCCAGCCCCGTGGGGAGACCACACATAGGTGCTTGGTCTACAGTTCTAGTTGAGCACAGACCAGTCCAGATGCCAGACATGTAAGGGAAAAAGCTGCCAGACAATTGCTGCCTCCAGTATTAGCATCCAAGATGCTATCAGCTTCCGAGTCCTCCCAGCTGAAGCCCCAGACATCATGGATCAGAGAGAAGCCATCTCCAGGGTGTCCTGTCGGAATCCTTGTCCCATTGAGTTCATGAGCATAATAAAATAGTTGTTGTTTTGTGCCACTGAGTTGAGGTGGCTTGTTATGTAGCAATGGATAACTGTAACGTGGAATCAGCTCTCAGGCAGTGACGGGGGATCTTGTGAGTTTTGCAAACCAATCCTTGGATGCTCTAGCAAATAAGCATGAGGGTTTAGCAGGCAACCTTTTAACATCCTGACTAAGTTCTTGGATCAGACATCTACACCTAATATTTTTTTTTTTTTAACTTTTAAGTTCACAGTGCATGTGCAGGTTTGTTTCATAGGTAAACTTGCATCATGGGGGTTTGTTACACAGATTATTTCATCACCCACGTATTAAGCTTAGTACCCATTATTATTTTTCATGGTCCTGTCCCTCCTCCCACCCTCCACTCTCCAACAGGCCTCAGTGTGTGTTGTTCTCCTCTATGCGTTCTCATCATTTAGCTCCCACTTATAAGTGAGAACATAAGGTATTTTGGTTTCCTGTGTTAGTTTGCTAAAGATAATGGCCTCCAGCTCCATCTGTATCCCTGCAAAGGACATGATCTCATTCTTTTTTTATGGCAGACTAGTATTCCATGGTGTATATATATCACATTTTCTTCATCCAGTCTATCACTGATGGGTATTTAGGTTGATTCCATGTCTGTCGCCCAGATTGGAGTGCAGTGGCGTGATCTCGGCTCACTGCAACCTCCGCCTCCTGGGTTCAAGCGATTCTCCTGCCTCAGCCTCCCAAGTAGCTGGGACTACAGGCACCTGCCACCACGCCTGGATAATTTTTATATTTTTAGTAGAGATGGGGTTTTACCATATTGGCCAGGCTGGTCTCAAATTCCTGACCTTGTGATCTGCCCGCCTTGGCCCCTCCAAAGTACTGGGATTACAGGTGTGAGCCACTGCACCTGGCCAATTCCATGTCTTTTCTATTGTGAATAGTGCTGCAGTGAACATAGGTGTGCATGTGTCTTTATAATAGAATGATTTATATTCCTTTGGGCATACACCCAGTAATGAGATTGCTGGGTCAAATGGTATTTTGTCTTTATACACCTGATATGTTTTCATGAGATATCAGGTTCATCCTGGCCTTAGCCATTAGAAATTCCAGGTTATGGGATGTAGCCACCTTGAAGTGGCCCCAGGATGGGGAATCCATGCAGTCCAAAGTAGCAGGTCAATTACCAAATGTATGACCAAAAATTATGAATGTCTCCCCCTAACTGGGAGAGGCACAGCAAATTAAGAGGAGAGATTAATGAGACAATTAGTATATATGTTCTGAGAAACAGCTCGTAGTTGGCCAAGAGTTTAGGATTAGTCCCTCAGGAACTTACAGTTGAGAAAAGCATTTAGCTAATCACGTATTTTTTGTAAAAATGTTTACTGCCAAGATAACTTAGGGTTAAGTGTGCAATTGCTCTAATTTGCATAAGCTTGAATTTGGTGGTAAATGAAACATTTACTATAACTGGCATATTGATTTAATACATATTTATTTGCTTTTGAGAAGCAGAACATGCTTTGAGGAGAAGATTATGTGCTCTCTTGCTGCAATGCATTACTATTAGAAACACAGCCCAGGAAATAGCTGCCACCTCAGGGCCATGGCCGAGGTGGGTAGTGGGAGCAGACGGCAGGACCAGCTCCTTGGGGCTGGTATCTTAGCCTGGGGTTTCACTCTCTGCTGTCAACACCTTTAAATTCTTAATAATTTTGAAACAAGGGCTTGCATTATCATTTGAGGCCCACAAGCTATGTGCCGGTCCTGGCGTGCAGGGGTCTGCATCAGAGTGAGCTCTGGGTTAGATGTTAGCTGAGGTCTCCTCCTACATTGAAGGGACAGAGGGAATGGTTCTGCAGGGAGCTTAAGAGGAAAGGTTTAAAGGCTCCCAAAGGTAGAGGGGCAGGTTGTGGAGGGCTTGGTCCACTGGCCCAACTGGAGGTTTAGGCAGAGGCCACCAGCAGTCTTGATGAAACAACTCCAAGCCCCAGGACTTCTTGGTTGACATCACTCTTACTGAGCTCCACCAGCTAACAGAGACCTTGTCCTATTTATGCCCTATGAGTGCTGGTCAGTCACTCTCAGGGAAGGCCCACTGGCTGCCTGGGCCATGCCGTCCATCTCCACTCAGGGATTCTTGGGGCATCCGAGTTTTCAGAGGTGAGCCAGGCTGATCATGGAGATTCCTGAACTGCCTGTCTTCTGGGTCTCCCACTCTTGGGTCATAGTTGGGACTTGGGTGGGGAATACCTGCTGCTCTCAGTTCTCCCTGTTGAGGAGGGTCAGACAACAGGGACAGTAGCCCTCTCACGTGAGTGTACGTGGTGCTCAGGGAGAATTCACCACCCAGGCAGAGCTGACCTTCCAGGCCTGGGGAGGCTATGTGCTTGGGAATGGCAGAGTCGCACATGGACAATCATTGAGTGAGTCCACGGGGACCAAGCTCTGCCTACTTGAGGGTTAGACCAGGCTTGCATTTTTTTTTAAGAGGTAGGGTCTTGCAATGTTGCCCAGGCTGTAGGCTTGGACTCCTAGGCTCAAGCAATCCTCCTGCTTCAGCCTTCTGAGTACTTCCAGTTTTTATTAGGAAACAGAGGATGAGCATCCGAGGACATCCCCGCCTCGGTACAGGAGCCCTCAGGCTTCCCTGTCTGTCCCTCCCTGTCTGTCGCTCTGGGCTGTCACCCCTGTGACTGTGGACATCTTGAGGTCGGGGACTTCATCTTCCTTGTCTTTGTGTCCCAGGCCAGTTACATTCTGCTTAAGGGAAGGAGGAACAGTGAGAAATGCTGAAAAGTAGAAGCCGGGGCCTCAGGGGAGGAGGGGGAAAGTAGTACCTGTTAGGACCATTAGAGATGGGGCCTGGGAGGAAGGGAAGGGGCCCTGGGATTCTTGGGGCTGCTTTCTCAGGGGTGAAGTCAGGTCCTTCTGCCATCTTGTTAGGGGTGGATGGTGTTGGGAGATGGCACTGTGGTGGCCACAGGAATGGCCAGAATAATTATGTGGGGCAAAGTGCAAAGACTCAACAGGGCAGGGAAGTGAGAATGTGACTTGAGGCTTGTATTTCTGAGGCTCTCAGCCGTTAGTCACTCAACAAGGACTGCTGAGTGCCCGCTGAATGCACAACACCAACAAACAACTATGAAAAATCACCCAGGTAAAGTAAGCAATGCCTTTGGTCTTCTAGCTGCCCTTGGTATGGTGGGTGATGACAGTCATACACCCACATCTCAGTGTGTAAAGGAGCCCCTGAGCCTCTGGTGTCCTGCACCCCCTTGAAATGTTTATCAAAACCACGCACACCCTTCCTTTCTGTCTTCTTGGAGGGAGAGAAAGGCTGGAATCTGTTCTATTGAATTGTCCAGTTTGAAAAGATCCAGGACCCTGCCCCACATGACCTGACTCCCCTGTTCCTGCCTCCCTGTCACTGGTTCCTGGTTCTGCGGCTGGCTGTGGGTGACTGAGCTCTGAGCAGGGCTGGGAGGGACAGTGTGAGATCCCCCATCTGTTCGCTTGTCTGCTTTCCTCTGTCAGTGGTTCCCCATGATAGAAAACTCCACATCCATTGTATTAGCTCCTGTGGCTGCTATAAACACAGTACCACAAACTTAGTGGCCTCAAACAACACCATTGTATTCTCTTACCATCTGAGGTCTTCAGGGCCTTGTTCCTAATGGAGGCTCTAGGGGAAAATCTGTTTCCTTGTCTTTTCCAGTTTCTAGAGGTCGCTTACATTCCTTGGCTTGTGGCCCCTTCTGTCATCTTCACAGCCGGCAGTGTGGCATCTTCTCTCCTCTCTTCTCTCCTGTCTCCCGCTCACAAGGGCCTTGTGATTACTCAAGCCCACCTGGATGATCCAGGATAATTTCCCATCTCAAGATCCTTACCTTAATCATGCCCACAGAATTCCTTCCTAGTGCATGTAAGGTAACAGATCCACAGGTCCCAGGGATCAGGATGTGGACATCATTAGTGGGGGGTGGAGGGCATTATTCTATCTACCCCATCCATCCTGGCCAGCTACTATAGTACCACACATCAGCAATTAGAGTTTCATTTTTCTTTCTCTCTTTCCCTCCCTCATTTCCTCCCTTCCTCCCTCTTGTAAAATTTAGATTTCAGTTTTTTGAATAGGTAATACATTCTCACGATTCAAAAATAAAAATAACATAGCACTGGGGCGAGAGGCTGTGGCACCTGGGTTTCTGCAGTTAGTGCTTTCCTGGGCCATGTGCCATGGCCGGGACACTTGGGGCTCCCTCAGCTCCAGAGGGAGGGAGGAGACCCTCCTTGCCCCATCCCCATCCCCATAGCGTCTGGCCAGGCCACTCTGCTTTCTCCCCAGCCTCTATCTCCCTACCTGGCCAGCCCGTGGCCCGGCCCTCTCCATCATTCCCCTTCTGTCCCCAAAAGCAAGCAAACAAAACAACAAAACCCCTAACAACTCAATAGAAAGGTTTCCATGAAGAAAGCCTGCTCCTATCCCTGTTCTCATCCACCATGCTTCCCTGTCGTCTACATGGAGACCAGTCTAGGGAAACTCCTGTCCTTTCTCATGCAAAGTTAGCATGCTGTCTGTATTATTCTATGCCTCTTCTCTTTTCTTACTTGCTATGGCCTGAAGTTTTGCCCTATCAGCACACAGAGTATCCTCATTCGTGTGTTTCTCTTACAATCAGCTAGAATTGCACTGTGAGGTTGTGCCACAGTTCATTCAATTGGGGTTTTCTACAGATGAGAATTTGGTTGTTTCCAGACTTTCGCTGTTACAAACAATGCTGCAATGAATCACTTTGTACATATGTCGTTCCTGTGTTTACAGGTGGATCTTGGGGATAAACCCCCTGAGGTTGGGCCAGTGTGCCAATGGATAAAGGCATGGTGATCCTGCTAGATCTCCCTGTAGCATCTTCTCTATGGTTGTGCCATTTTGCAAGCCTGTCACTGACACTGGGAAATTCCCTTGCAGCCTCCCCAAGAGAAAGTTGTCACTCTCAGATTTTTTTTTTTTTTTTTTTGAGACAGGGTCTCACTGTGTCTGTGTTGCCCAGGCTGGAGTGCAGTGGCGTGATCTCGGCTTCTCAGCTCAAGAGATCTTCCTATCTAACCCCCTCTGCCCCAGGACTACAGGCGTATGCTGCCCTGCCTGGCTAATTTTTTTTGTATTTTTTAGGAGAGATGGGGTTTAGCGTGTTGCTCAGGCTGGTCTTGAACTCCTGGACTCAAGTGATCCTCCCATCCTCCCGTCTCAGCCTCCCAAAGTGCTGGGATTACCAGCGTGAGCCACCGTGCCTGGCCAGTCTCAGATTTTAAAAAAACAATCTGATAGGTGCAGGATTTCAGCGAGCTTCCTTTTTGTTAGTAATGGTGGCTTTTCTGGACTGCAGTAGACCAGTGTGAATAAAGTACATGCCATGTGTGTGCATGTCCGTGTGAGTGCGTGCACGTCTGTGTGTGTGCACGTCTGTGTGTGTGTGCATGTCTGTGTGTGTGTGCACGTCTGTGTGTGTGCACGTCTGTTCGTGTGTTTCCTACACACATGGCCCTGTGCCTCCCCGCAAGAAGCAGCACACAGAGCGAGGCTCTGAGGGTTTATTGTCTGCCCCAGTGAGGCTCCTGGGCTTCCTGGGAGGAACTGGGGGAGGAACTGGGGGCTGGTCACACAGGTCTATAGGTCCCATTGTAGCTAAAAGGGGGAGGCATCGAGCAGTCCCTGTCCTCAGGGATCCAGCGCTGGACGTAGTTGGGGCCGTTGTCCCGAGGCCACACGATCACAGTGTCTCTGGATGCCAGGGAGGGGTCCTCTGGGAAGAAGTTGAATGGCCGGAGCAGGAAGCCCACGGAGTTCCCAGGTGTGGCTGTGTTGGGAATGTCCTCTGAGTGGGGGATGTGCAGGAAGCCCACCGTCACCCAGGCCACCAGGTCCTGCAGGAGACAGGGTGGGCTTCAGTGGGCAGGGCTGAGTACTGACCACTGGAGGCCACTCTAGCCTTTGGTCATTTTCAGTTCTGCCTGGAAACTTGCTGAATTCCTCTCCAGCCCCTTTTTAAAGAGATGAGCAGCTCTGTTGTGACCTCTGAACTTGCCGTCCACACAGCAAGGCACAGCTCCTGCGACTGGGGACAGATCTGGGCAAAGGGTGGTTGGGACTCCCTGATGGTGATGAGGATGGTCCTGGGCTGAGCTGGAAGGAGGCAGGGCCAGCACCGGGCAGGGCTGGGGACAGGGCAGTACCTCATTTTCAATGTTCTCGTTGTTGTGAAGAAACTGCTCAAAGACCACGGGCGGGTGCCAGGGGTCGTTCTGGTGGTAGATGCTGCTGCTGCACAGCTCCGACTCCCGGTACTTGGTCACTGCCAGGGGGTACCTGCCAGGCACAGGCGAAGCAGCTTGGCTCAGGGCCCTGGGCTGGCCCCCCTCAGTCCTGCCCAGGGAACAGCCTCAGGGTCAGAATAGAGGAAGATGATTGCCTTCCCCAAGATGACAGATCATCTGTCCTGGGAGTCAGCAGGACGGGCTGCTGTTAACCGGGTTCAGGTGACCCACAGGAGTCCTCCCCGCCCCCCTCCCCAAATGCACAGAGACACAGGCCCAGAACAGCAGGCAACCCTTGCACAACACAGGTGTGAGCTGCATGGGTCCTCTTTCTCTCTCTTTCCTTCCTTCTTTTCTTTTCTTTTTCTTTTTTTTTGATGGAGTTTTGCTCTGTCACCCAGGCTGGAGTGCAGTGATGCGATCTTGGCTCACTGCAACCTCTGCCTCCCAGGTTCAAGTGATTCTCCTGCCTCAGCCTCCCGAGTAGCTGGGATTACAGGCGCCCACGACCACACCCGGCTAACTTTTGTATCTTTAGTAGAGACAGGGTTTCGCTGTGTTGGCCAGGCTGGTCTCGAACTCCTGACCTCAGGTGATCTGCCCACCTTGGCCTCCCAAAGTGCTGGGATTACAGGCGTGAGCTCCTGCGCCCAGCACACAAGTCCACTTTCATTTGGAGTTTCTTCCGCCTCTGCCACCGTGAGACAGCAAGACCAGCCCCTCCTCCTCCTCTTCCTCAGCCCACTTAAAGTGAAGGAGACGAGGATAAAGACCTTTGGGATGAGCCACTCCCACTTAATGGATTGTAGATATATTTTCTTTTCCTTAGGATTTTTTTTTTTTTTTTTTTGAGAACTAGTCTTGCTCTGTTGCCCAGACTGGAGTGCAGTGGTGTGATCTCGGCTCACTGCAAGCTCCGCCTCCCGGGTTCACGCCATTCTCCTGCCTCAGCCTCCCAAGTAGCTGGGACTACAGGTGCCTGCCACCATGCCCAGCTAATTTTTTGTGTTTTTAGTAGAGATGAGGTTTCACCGTGTTAGCCAGGATGGTCTTGATCTCCTGACCTCGTGATCTGTCTGCCTCAGCTTCCCAAAGTGCTGGGATTACAGGCGTGAGCCACCGTGCCCGGCCAGGATTTTATTAATAACATTTTCTTTTCTCTAGCTTACTTTATTGTAAGAACACAGTATCTGACACACAGAACCTACAAAATATGTGTTCACGGAATGTTTCTGTTAGTGGTAAGGCTTCCGGTTAACAGTAGGCTATTCGTAGTTACGTTGTGGGGGAGTCATAGTTACACTTGGCTTCTTTACTGCTTTGGGGGGTTGGCACCCCTACCCCCCATATTGTTCAGGGTCAATTGTACACACAGATATACACATACGTATATGTGTATATCCACATAGACTAGGAACCCCATAGACACAAACACAGACAGACACAGACACACACACTGAGGGAAGCCACTGACCCTCCCCCAGGCCCCCTGGGTCTTCCTCACCTTGCCCAGGTGATGGCCTGCTCCTCCTGCCAGCCTGGGGGCAGCACCTGGTCGGCCATGGAGTGGATCTGCAGGCGGTACGTGCGCTTGTGGCCCCAGGGGTTCTCCTGGGGGCTGGTAAAGAGCAGGTACTTAGGCAGCTTCCTTTTGAAGCGGAAGGCCGCCTGGCGCTCCCAGGAGTACTGCGTCTGCTCCAGAGTTGGCTGGACCACGCGGTGTCTTGGGCTCCAGGGGTTGGTGATGTTTTCTAGCTTCATCTGCAGTGTCTGGAAGCTGTTCTTGGTGCCTGGAGGTATGCAGGGAGAAGGAGAACGAGAATCAAGCTGCCAGAACTGAAACCTCCTCATTCTACCCCAGGATCTCCATCCTCCACCACATCCAACAGCCAACTGTCTTGAATAACCGGGATGTTGGGGGATGCCCTGGGCGGCTGTGGTGATTCCATTACCACTCTGGGAAGTTCCTCTCAAGAGCTGTGCTCATGCCCATCTGCTGTGGCTGCAATCCTAGAGCAGGGGCACCCATTTTTCTCCAGGCATGGGAGGCTCTGTCCAGAGAGGTGACTGGGGCTGAGGGGTAGGAGCCGCCCGTGTGGTCCTGGTGGCCTTGTTGGGTCTGGCAGCATTAGTTATTCTACCCATGCCATTCTTTTATGGTGATATCATCCAGGAGACACCCTGAATATTCCCAGACAATACTACACTCCATCTCAAAGCGCTAGACAGTGACATTTCTTACCCTCATAGGCACCGTCCCCTCCCTTGCCCCATGCACAGCCCCAGGGTCAGGACAGGGTCCACACTGTTGCATCCAGGGCAACCCTCGGCACTGTTCGCTTTCACCATTTTTCAGGGACACACAAATTTCTAGCTTTAGGTTTTACAGAAGCAGGCTTGGCAAATGCTCCTAACTTTCCACCACCAGGGAGTTATAGTGCCGTCTCCTGGGAGTTTAAGTTATTGGCTGGATGCAGATGTTTGAACGGGAGAGTCTCGCTTTGAGTCCTACCTGCCACATCCAGGTCTACGCGGTAGTGCACCAAGTGAGTGTGTATGTTGCCAATCAGGTGGGTGTGCAGGCGAGTGCCGTGGCGCAGCCCCTCGGGGGTGTAGAAGGTGGCGTGGACGTAGCCAGTGGCATGCATCTTGGCCTCCATCACCCCGTTGGGGTAGAAGATAAAGTCCCAAATGTAATCATAATTGTAGACAGTTGAAGTTGTCCGCAGCACCAGCACCTGGCCCTTCAGCCCCGCATAGAAGTTGAAGCCACCTTTAAAGTTGGAATTAAAGTGCCGCCGAAGGGGCACCCCTGTGGGCATTTCAAAGAGGCAGAGGGCTCGGGGATAATGGACCGGGTCATCGGCATCATAGTAGTGGAAAGTGTCCAGGAAGGTGGCGGTCTCCGGGCAGTCGATGCCGGGGGCTAACTCATGAGTGACGCTGCCCAGGCCCCAGCCGACATCGAGGTACTTGGTCTGCATGCCTGCAGGTGTGTGTCCTCCATACAGCGCCACTGCCTCTTGCACGCTGACCTCATAGGCAATGCGCTCTCCGCCGAAGTGCACGTTCAGGACCTGCAGCCCGGAGGAGGAGCGCAGCCGGAAGGCAAAGCTCCAGCCGCCGTAGAGCACAGCGTTGCCCTCCAGCCTGAAGCGAGGGCCGTGGGGCTGGACCAAGCGGGGGCCGCTCACATGGATGGGGCTGGGGAAGTCCCCGCGGGGCTTGTGGGAGGAGAAGAGGGGCGGCTCCTCTGTGCTGTCATGCCCCTTGCCCCCAGGCAGCGGGTCCTCCAGGACCACCACGTCCACCTCTCCATCTGCATACTTCCGAGCCAGTTCCTCTGGGCTCCCATAGAACTTCCCGTTGTACCACACCTGCTCCACGGCCCAGTGCCCAGCATCTGTGCTCCCATGATCCACGAGGAGCTCCAGCCCAGTGGGGTGCAGAAAGTAGCCTTCTACATAGCGCTGTATGATAAGCCAACTGCGGCGCTGGCCAGAAGCCACACCCCGGGGGGCCACATCGGTGAAGGCCAGGCATCTGTCATGGCAGTCTTGGAATGAGAAGCCTGTGGTATTGAGGAAGAACTGATGCAGGGGCTTGGTGGCTTCCTGCAGGGTGTGGTAGAGGAGGGCATACTCTGCTGTGGAGATGGGCCTCGATGCCCAGGAGGACTGGTACCCAGGCCTGGGGGACAGTGCTCGCATGTAGCAGGGCCCTGGCAGGGGCCCCACAGCAAACTCGGTGACATTGGGATGCTCCTGGTCACCAAAGAAGATGACGGCACGGGCTTCCCGCACAGGATGCCTTTCACCTTTATCCAGAAACCTCAGCACATGGTACTTCTTGGGCAGCAGCATCTCGATGAGAAACACGGTGTTCTTGGCCATGGTGGTGGTACTGGAGGGCTGCAGCCTCAGCTCCTTCTTGGACCAGAGGAAGCTGTGCACTGCCTTCAGCTCTTGGTTGCTTAGGTCTGAAAACACCCCTGCCTTCCTGGGCAGAGTCCCCGGGGAGGGCTCCGCCATGGCCGTCTGCAGCATCAGGATGGCAGCCACGGCCCAGCCCAGGGCCGGCATCTCTCGCTCCACGGCTCTGGAATGCAATAGAGGAGATGAACTTAGTTGTCTTATGGGCAGAGATGGGCTTCCCTCAGGTTAGGGCCATGGAATTTTCCCATGGACTGAGCTTCCTCCCCTTGCCCTGCCCCAAGCTGGAGGCTGTCCTGGGGCAGCTGGGGCCCCATGCATAGTCCCCAGCGCCGTCGGGCCGCTGCCTGTGCATCCATCCATTTATTTCTGCCCTCTCCTCACTCCTCTGTAAATGTCCTTCAGTCCTGCAGCCTTCCTTACTCAGGGGAACACCCTTGTTTTTGTGTATTATCTCAGCCAGGGGTGCCGTGAGTCACAGAGGCCAGGCTGGGCCCCTGCACATGCCCCCAGGTGCTTCTTGTGTCCTGGAGAAGAAGACACCTGTATTAACAGCAAAACTACATTTCTGACACAACGAAATACCTTTTAGGTAGACAGATTTTGAAATTTAGTGTAGAAATTCAAAGGTAGGCTCTAGAGTCAGGCTGTCTGAGTCAAGTCCCAGTGACTCATGCCACTAGGACTTGCTGTGTGGCCTTGGGCACGCTGCTTAAACTCTCTGGGCCTTCATGTTCTTAGTTTTAAAATGAAAATAATGACAACAGTGCTTAGCTCCTAGGGTTGTGGAGAGAAATCAATTAAACAGTAAATATAAAGTGTTTGTAACAATGTCTGCCATATGGGAAATACATGAGAAATGTTAGCTGCTCTTCTTGTTAAATACAGGCTATCGACACCAGCCCATTTAAAGTTTTACGCAATGTAGAGTGATTCAGGTGTGACTAGGCTGCAGACTGATGGCTTTGGGGGTGAGGTAGAGGTGCCCAGTCCTGCCTAGCCTTCTTTGTGCCCCATTCACCTCTCTTGTCCACCCAAGGCTACTAGGAGGGGACCTCAGGGAGGGTTTCATCTTAGGAAGATGCCTTTTCCTTTCTCAGGGAGGGTGGGTCAGGGTCTTCACCTCATAACCCCATTCCCCAAGCAGCTGTAAAATCCTGTGCTTGTAGCTGTGAGCCTCCTGCAGGGCTGGGAGACGTGGTGGCCACAGCTCTGTCTTCCCATGTGCTGTGTGCGGAGTCTCTGGGAGACTGTTACTCTTGCCTGTTGCGCTGTTGCTACAGATGCTGGCTGGAGCTGTCTCCCAGCCTTAGTTTCTCCAGACCCTAACTTGTCCTCCTAGGTGATGTGGGCCTCCCTGGAAGGCTGCCGTCACCGTGAAATTTCCCTACAGAAGCACTGCCTTTGCCACCTTGCACCCCCTTCCTCAAGGCTCTGGGTTGAGCTGGGAGCCCCGCTTCAGGATTCCTCCCTGTCTCAGCTGTGCTTTTCACTTCCTGCAAGCAGTGCCTGAGGCACAGACACTTGATTTATAAGGTGGATGCATGAGTGGGTTGGACTCTGAGAGATCCTTGTTTTCATATTTTCATAGGTAGTTGCCTTTTGCTCCCTAAATCAGAAGCCCTGGGGGTAAACCTGGAGAAAACTCGTTCTCCTGTGCAGACAGACAGGTAGCAGAGAGGGTTAATCCACTCCTGTCTCAGACCTCTGCCTGGCCCAGCCTCTTCCCAGGGGGCCCAGGCTGCCTGCAAGGGAGGCCCCGAGGATTTCACCTGGAAAGTCGGCGGCACAGGGTGTGAGGTGTAACTGAGGTGCAGCAGCTCCACTTTGGGTGTATCGTGGAGTGACCCACTGAGGAAACCTGACCATCATGAGCGCTTTTCATTTCTTGCTTTTGTTTTTGGAAAATGCATTTACACATCACATTTCCGAAGCACAAGCGTTGGGAACACAACCCATGTGTTAACTAGAGGCCCTGTTTTCCCGTGGCTTTTTTCCTCCAGAGAAGCTCAGCTGCACATTGTCCCTTCCCACCCGACTCTGGGCCAGTGTCACATCCTTTGCCACCTTTTGAGGTCAGCTGAAACCCCGCACTGCCGAGGAATGCTGTTTTTGGCCCCAACTAACATACTTCTCCACTAGTCCCCTTAGCACTTTGTATTTAATTTGTACACGATGGGCAGTTCTTGATTCATAGACAAATGAAAGGTGTTGGCTGGGCCTGTTCCATCACCCGAGGGCTCTCTAGCCCTGGAGGCCACGGTAAAGGCTGATCTGAGATGTCCTTCTCTCCCTTTCCCATGCCCCTCTCCCCGAGGGCTCTCCCCTTGCCCTCGTTTTGCTCCATGGTCATGGCCTCTCATGGGGATGTCCCTCTAGTTGCCTTGTCTTGCCCTCTGGTGCTGGCAGAAGACCCTGGAACCCACATGATCTTGGGCTCTCGGAGGCCCTGCTTACCTGGAGGGAGCAGGTGAGGCAGGGGCTGCAGGCGGAACCCAGAGCCAGCAGGAAGGATATGAGGTGAGTTCTTGTGTTCTCCTATTAAATATTGGCCAGGCCTCTTTTTTTTCTTCTTTAAATAGACTATTTTTTCTTTTTCCTGAGACAGTCTTGCTCTGTAGCCCAGGCTGGAGTGCAGTGATGCGATCTTGGCTCACTGCTACCTCTGCCTCCCAGGTTCAAGCAATTCTCCTGCCTCAGCCTCTGGAATAGTTGGGATTACAGGTGTGCACCACCATGCCCGGCTAATTTTTTGTTTTTAGTAGAGATGGTGTTTCACCGTGTTGGTCAGGCTGGTCTTGAATTCCTGACCTCAAGTGGTCCACCTGCCTCAGCCTCCCAAAGTGCTGGGATTACAGGCATGAGCCACCAGGCCTGGCCCCAAATAGACTTCTTATTAGACTTAAATAAATAAATAAATAAATATATATATATATATATATATATATATATATATATAGTCAGGATCTCACTATGTTGCCCAGGCTGGTCTTGAACTCCTGGGCTCAAGTGATCCTCCTGCGTTGGCCTCCCAAAGTGCTGGGATTATAGTAGACTTTTTTTTTAATAGACTTTTAAAAATAGACTTTAATAGATTTCTTAATAGACTTTATAAAGTCTGTTAAAAGTCTTTAAAAAGTCTATTAAAAGTCTTTTAACAAACTTTATAAAGTCTATTAAAGTCTTTTAAATAGGAGTCTTTTAAAGAGGAATTTTAGGTTCATAGCAAAATTGAGCGAAAGGTACTGAGAGTTTCTGTATACTCACAGCCCCTACACACGCAGCCTCCCCACTATCAATATCCACACCAGAGCCATACATTTGTGGCTGATGAACCTGCACATCACTCTCACCCAGAGCCCACAGTTTACATCAGGACTCACTCTTGCTGCTGCATATTCTATGGGTTGGACAAACGGACAATGACATGGATCCACCATTAGAATATCACACAGAATAGTTCCACCTCCCCCAAAATCTTCTGTGCTCCACCTCTTCCTCCGAAACCCTAGCAATCACTGCTCTTTTTATTGTCTCCATAGTTTTGCCTTTTCCAGAACGTCCTGTATTTGGAATCTTACAGTCTGCAGCCTTTTCAGATTGGCTTCTTTTGCTTGGCAGTGTGCATTTAGGGTACCTCCATGTCCTTTCACGGCTGGGTCTCCTTTTTTACAACCTCTTATACCCACGTTTCTTTTTGCTTTTCCAGGAAGGAGAAAGATGTGGAAGAGACCTTTGCTTTCCCCAGGACAAACCTCTGTCCCCATGTGCAGTGGCAGTGGGGGTGGTGGCTGGTGAGACCTCCAGGCAGGAACAGGAAGCAAGCCCTCTCCCTGCTCACCCTCCTCTCTGAGCTTTCCCCACTCCACCCTGGCCGGCTGTTGCCTGCCACCAAGCACCCGGGCACCTTCTGTGATGTGCTGGGCTCCCGCCCTCACTTCCTGGCCCTCCTCCCTCTGTGTCCTGTTTCTTCTGCCCCTCACTCTGTGCCCTCCTTCCACTGCTTTTCTGTCCTCCAGGTCAGCCCCTTCTTGACTCTCCCGAATACCCATCAGAACGCACCTGTGTGCTCTGCTCCCAGTTCGCTCTGCTTCCAGCCTTTGCCCTTAAGCTGATCTCTGACTCCTTCTTGAAGTCAATCAGACCCCGCCCTGCAGGGAGGGACAAGGTGAGGCCTGAGCTGGCCTAGGAGGGGCCTATGGCTTGGGAGGTGCCTCTGTGGGCAGCTACAGTGGCGAGAGTGGGTTTGAGGAAGCTGGCTGTGCAGCACACTTGTCCTGAGTCTGTTTCCAGACAAGTGCCGCCTTCCACAAGAATTTGCCTTGGCTTCTCTGTGACGAGCCATGCAATGCCACGATCTGTTAATTTAGGTGGCATATTTTAGAGGCAGAGATAAGGACAAGGGGCCATTTCCTAGCCGGTAGTCTTACCTGAAGCTGACAGATGGACCAGGGCAGGGGCTGATAGAGGCTGGCACCCACAGCAAAACAGAGAATTCAACCGCTCCTAGAACAAGACACCAGAGGCAGAACCGTTTGGGAGGAGCAGCCACTCAAGACGAGTTGCAAACTTTGGCGGCTTTTTAACGATCTTTGAGACCCTGACCAGATTCAGAAAGGAGGAAGGACTTGGCTGGGAGAAAGCTGGCCAGGGTAGCTAAGGCTATGGCACAGAGCGGAGAGGGGAGAGGACACTGGGGCAGGTAGTGCCCATGCAGTGGGCGGACAGTGCTAACGCCCACTTAGTCAGGTTGAGAAGGGCGAACGTGGTGACCGGGGTAACTCCTAGTTGGAAAGGAAAGAATAGAGTCAGGAAAAGTTCGTGGCTCAGGAGTGCCAAGGGGTCATCATCCCCCATTACCAAGGTTTGGTTGCTCAGGGATTGCACACCGCTTTGTGGTTATAGGGGTTTTGTATTTCTCATCATCATCCTTCCTGCTGCCCGCAATGCAAGCCATTTCAGTGTGCACTGGCAGCTAGATGAAGGAAGGTGAACACACTTAGTCAACTTGAAGCTTGCTTGCAATTCCAGAAGGTCTTTGGTGTTTCTGAGGAAGGGGATTTGCCTTCCATGTTAAAATGATGATTGATACAAAGACAATGAATGCTAACGTCTTTCACCCTCAGTGTTCAAGAGGACTGTGAGTTATGTATTCTCAGTTATGGGCTCACCAACTCCGCAGAGAATTGGGGGGATTTGGATTAGAAGAGAGTTTCAGGAACAACCTGATTTTGAGGACTACAATCTGTTTCCATTCCACAAAGGAAACTGCGACAAAGTTAATGGAGTGAGGATGGATCGAGAAAAGAGACTTGCAAAGATTTAAAGGGAAAGGGGCCACATGCACATGATGGAGTTAGACCCTTTCACACACGGAAACGGACTCGAAAGGGACCAAAGACATACATGTAAGAGCTAAAACTGTAAAACTCTTAAAAAGAAAACATAGGAGTAAATCTGCTTGACTTTACATCTAATTCTTGGATGTGACCTCAAAGCACAAATAACCAAAGAAAAAAAAATAGATAAATTGACATCATCAGTATTAAAAGACTTTTATGCTTCAAAGGACACCCACAGGAAAATGAAAAGACAAAGCATAGAATGGGAGAAAATATTCACAGATTATATATCTGATAAGAAAATTATATCTAGAATGTAAGAAGAACTCTTCCAATTCCATAATAAGAGGCAAATAATCCAATTAAAAATGAGCCAAAGATCTGAATAGATATTCCCCTCACGAAGATACACAAATGGCCAATATGCACATGGAAAGCTGTTCAATGTCATTAGTCATCAGGGGATGCAAATCAAAACCACCAGGAGATACCACTTTATATCCACTAGGATGGCTAGAATTCAAAAGCAAGGTAATAACAGGTGGGGCCAGGAGGCAGAGAAACTGGAAGCCTCACAGGCAGTTCATGGTGAGATGACGCAGCCACTTCGGAAAACTGTCTGGCTGTTCCTCAAATGACTTAACGTTGTTATCATATAACCCAGCAATCCCACTCCTGGGTATATGCTCAAGAGAAAGGAAAGCCTATGTCCATGGGGAAACCTGTACCAGAGTGTTTACTGCAGTGTTATTCACAATAGCCAAACAGTGGAGACGACTCATATGTCTCTGCATTGATAAATGAGTCAACAAAATGTGGTCTATCCACTCAATGGAACATCATTCAGTCATAAAAAGGAAGGAATCACTGTTACATGACACAATGTGGATGAACCTTAAAACCACTACGGCAAATGAAAGAAGCCAGTCACAAAAGACCACATTATTCCATTTATATGAAACGTGTGGGGTAGGTAAATCTCTCAAGCAGATGAGAAGCACATTAGTGGTTGCTTAGGGCTGGGGTGCGATGGAGGGATGGGGTGAGAGCTAATGCTTATGGGGTTTCTTTTTGAGGTGATTAAAAAGTTCTAAAATTGAAGGTGATGGCTGCATGTACCTGTGAATGTACTAAAATGCATTGAATTATACACTTTAAATGGGTGAATTGTAAGGTGTGTCTCAATAAAGCTGTTTTCAAAAAGTGACAGGACTAATATCTAGAATACACAAGGAGCTCTTGCAAATCGGTCAGAAAGAGGCAGCAGTCCCCATGGAAACCTGGTAAAGAATCCCAAGGGTAACTTGCAGAAGAGGCACCCCAAAGGGCTAAAGAGCACATGGAAAGATGCTCAAATGTAGTGGTTACTAGAAAAATGCAAAGCATTCAACAACGAGATATAATTTTTCATGGGAAAGCTGGATGATGCCAAGTGTTGACAGAGATGTGGGGAAACGGGGACCTTATGTGTGGTTGTGGGAAGGGGTTATTGATGGCACAGCCATTCTGGAGGGCACTTTGCAGGGTGTGGGCAAATGAGAGAATTGCATGCTCTCCAGACTCAGGAACTCTGTCTCTTGGAATATATGTCAAAGAGGTTCTCACCCAGGCCTAGAGGTGGGATGCAGACACAAGTGGCTGTGAGGCTGGGGAGCTGGAGGCCATCGGGGTGCCACCCCCAGGAGAGTGGTCACTGCACACCATGGGGTGTTGTGCAGTTGGCGGGTGCAAAGGCATGGATGTCCACACAGCCACTCCTGAGAAGGGATCTCAGGATCATGGAAGACGCAGGATGAGTGATAGCACGATGCCATTACACAACAGGAAACACGTACACACCAAGCCACCCGCTTTCAAGAGTGGATACACATTAGAATGGATGTGAGGGCGGGGGTGGGAGTGGGAATACATACATACACACGTGAGAAAGACAAGAGAGAGGACTTGTATGGGCCAGTGATGACGACATCCATGCACTGAGGTAGAATTAATTCAGTTCTGCAATGGACGTCCATAAATAAATAAAAGAAAGGCCTGGGAGACAGACTGAGTGACTACAGGTCCTCACACCAGGGTAGATGTGGCTGAGGACAGGAACCACCACAGGTCCCGCACCTGGAGGATGCAGTGAGGGCAGGGAGGAACACTGCGTGTAGGCAGGGAGCTGAAGCACACCAGAAAGAATTGCATTTTTTATGTAACGGGGCCCATAACATGTACATAGAAGGATTAATATTACAAGGTGGCACAGAGTAAGTGCAACACATTGATGCCCAAGGGCCTGTCCTGCAAGGGCTTGGAAGGAGATTCCCCTCAAGACTGCAAGCCCCCAAGTCCTGGGACTCTATCCCCTCTGCAGTAGCCTCCATGGCTGCTGTCACAGAGGACCACACACAGGGGCTTAAAGTAACAGAAATGGGTTGTCTCACAGTTCTGGAGGCCTAAAGTGTGAAATCAAGGTGTAGGCAGGGCCATGCTCCCTTTGGAGGCTCAAGAAGAGGGTCCTTCCTCTCCTCTTCCAGCTTCTGTGTTGCCAGCAATCCTTGGTGTCCCTCAGTGCCTTGGCTTGTGGCCATGTCACTCCAATCTCTGTCCTCACATGGCGTCCTCCTTGTCTCAGTACCTCTATTTTCAAGAACACCAGTGATTGTATTGAGGGCCTACCCTACTCCAGTATGACATCATCCTAACTAATTCATCTGCAACGACCCTATTTCCAAATAAGACCATATTCTGAGGTTCCAGGGAGGACATGAATTTTTAGGGGGATGCTATGCAACCCAGCACACCTTCTTTACCTGCCTCATTGCAGAGAGCATGGTCCTTGGCCAGTGAGTGAATTCCAAGCCCTGTGCCCTGGGGGGCTGCTGCCCCGAGGATCCACAAGGTAGAGCCTGTGTGGGGTTTTGCGATACACGAGGGACTTAGGAGGAAGAGGACACACTGGGCAGGGGCGGGGGTGGGAGTGGGAGTGTGAGTGGGGGTAGGAGCAGAGTCCTGAACTGAGATGTGGTGTGTTTCCCAACATGGGAAAAGGTCAGGGCTGATGCGGGGAGTGGGGTGCGGTTTGTGTCGCTGTGCTGAGGAAGGGCAGGTGGTGTGTCTGGAAGGAGGAGGTAGAGTGAGGAACCTCCCTATGCGCTTCTAGAGAAGTGTGGGGGTGAAGAGGGGCTTGTGGGAATCCTATAGAGACAGAGGAGATAGAGAAGCCCTCTAGAGAGGCACTGGGAAAGCTGAGGCGAACAGAATCCTTGTGCAGAAAAGCTGGTAAGTCTGTTGTTATATACATATATATATTTGTAGAGACGGGGTCATGCTGTGTTGCCCACGCTGGTCTTGAACTCCTGGCCTCAAGTGATCCTCCTGCCTTGGCCTCCCAGAGTGCCGGGATTACAGGCATGAGTGACCATGTCTGGCCAAGGCCATTGTTTCTGCTCATGTTTGTGTGCACTGTGGCTGGGGAACTTGAGATGTCACACTTGAAATTTGGGGTCTGTTGCCTTGCCACCTCTCTTCCTGCTCCCTGGCTGGGGCTGGCCCCTCCATACTGAAGGTGACCTTGGTTTCTGAGGTGTGGTTCCTCGCTTGTGGAATTAATGATTGCTGACAGTTAGAGATAGCACTTGGGCAAAGACCGTATCCTGTCAGTTGTTCGCTGCTTGCCTTTCTTAAGGAGGTCCAGGCCTAAGGAGGGGCAGCGCTATATACAAAGGTGGAGCTAGGAAGCCAGAGGTCACAGCTCACCATGTCCTGTGGCTAAATCTTGATATTTTGCTTTCAGAAAGTCACAACCTGTCAGAGCTAATTTGAGAGGATCTAGAGAGTGGGATTGTTTCCACGAAACCACAGAGAAGAAACAGAGCAACCCGCGCCTGCACCAGGACCTACTGGGGGTACACCAGGGAAGCTCATTCGATTAGATCTTTATGTGAATGAAGCCAACATCATAGCTTTTGTCCCTGATTAGGGAAGGTGGGTTTGTAAAAAAGAAAATTCCACCATTTTCTGAGGCAGGGCCATTGGTCATAAGGGGCCCTGGTGAGGTCCTGATGGCTTGGGCAGCCCCACCCAGAGAGGGGAGAACGTTCATCTCCAGGTGCTAGCCCTGCTTCTGCCACTGGCTGGTGGGCTTATACTTGACAGTCCTTAATTCATTCAACAAATGTTTATGGAGCACTCATTCTGCACCAGGGAGACACAGCAACGAACAAACAAAACCAAAGCCTCTATGGGGCTCATATTTTAGTGAAGACTATCCAACAGCGAAGCTTGTGAGCCTTCACAGCAGACCTCCTCACTGGGACAGCTGATGACAGGGGCTGGCCCTGGGCTGGCATCTGGGAACTTAACTTTCAGGATCCTGCCCCGCTGTGCCGGCCTGCTGACTGTTTTTACAGACAATGTGATTAGTGAACACCTGCTTTCCTATTGGGAATCTGGAATCTTGTTAGTTGTGGTGGGCAGAGAGTGTGCCTACGTGACCAGCCCCAACCTCTGCCCCAGCTCTGAGCTTCTACTTCCCTGGGGAGATGCAGGGCGCAGGGTATGCTCTGTGCAGCCTTCATGGGAGGGAGAGCTCAGCGAGTCTGTGCCCTGACCCCTCCAGACCCCGCTGTGTCCTTGCTGTGTGTTGGCCGTGGGTATAACTGTCTGCTTAGTCTGGTGAGTCCTAGTGAAGCTCTGACAGCAGAGGTGCCATGAGGTGTCACGGGTGTTCAGAGAGGTGTCCTGCAGGCGTTGGCGGCAAGTGGTGACCCAGTGTGTTCCAGTGGGGCACATGCTCAGGGGAAAACAGAGCAGGGGCATGTGGTGGGGGCAGGGCCTGACCTTTCAGAAAGGGGACTCCTCTTCTCCTCAATGTGGTGAAGGAGTGGGCCACAAGGATGCCTGGTGGCGGGGGCATTTCAGGCTGAAGGAGCAAGGAATGCAAAGTCCCTGATGCAGAGTGAGGGGACTGCTGTCGCCAGGGGCAAGTGGTGGCAGGTGGATTCAGAGAGTGACCAAACGCCCTCGCCTCCAAGGCTGTCACTGGGATTTTACTCTGAGCCACTTGGGAAGCCTCTGTCAGGTTCGTGCAGAGGCCAAAACTGACCTGCCTCTAGCAAGTGCTATCTGGAGGTGCTGGGGGAGACAGAATGCAAAAGAGTGAAGGCTGCAATGATGGCAGGAGCAGAGAGCAGGCCGGGGGGTGGTTGCAATAGTCTTGGGGGGCAAGGCTGGTTGCCAGGTCAGGGTTGCAGGGGTGGAAGTGATGAGAAGTGGCCACATTCTGGATGTAGCTGGAAGGGAGGCTGGGGGAGATTTGCTGAGGGCTGGGATATGAGACTCCAGAGAGAAGAGCCAGGTGACCCCAAGTTCGGGCAGAGGTTCTGCTCTGCTGGGGCAGCCAGGAGCTGAGTCAGGATGCTTCAGTGTGTGAGCATGGCTGGCTGCTGGCTGAGCCCACTTCTGGACTTTGATGCTGGATCCCAAGGCACATGAGGGGCAAGGGTGGAGGGAGCCCCAAGGAGACCTTTGTGAGGAGTCAGAGACCAGGGCTGGGTCCTCCAGGCGCTCTTTGTATCTTCACTGACCATGCCTGGCAGTGCTGGCCAGCTGACAGCTTCCCCGTCAAATCCCACATTCCTCCCTCCAGCTGCAGCTGTGTCTGGCAGCCGGGGCTGGGCAGTAGACACAGCAGAATTCTTCCTTCCTCCTGGCTCTCTTTAGTAGCTACCTCACGAAATGTGCATTGGATTCTTAAAGAAGAAAAAAATCAAGAGGCCAGAAAATCAGGAAGCAGAAGTTAAAATATGTTGCTGATCTTTGAAATAAAGAATTTGTGTTGGTAGACATGTGACCTTGTGTGGTGCAGGGATGTATTTGTGTTAAACCATTTTGGTGACTATGACATTCCAGGTGCATATTGGAGGTAGCATGTAGGACTTCAGAAATCACCAGAACAGTCACTGCCTCTGTGCAGCCCTTTGCTGAGCACAATTTTGGAAGGAAATATAGCAGCATGGTTACTGGTACAGGATATAGAGCCAGAAGGCCTGAGTTTGAATCCAGGTTCTACTTCTTTTAGTTGGATGTTATGTGGGAAAAGCGGTTAACTTTTCCTTTTAGAGACGGTGATTTTCTCTGGTGGTATGATTTGATTTCTTGCTTTTTAATTTTTGTGCATCTGTTGTATGTTTTTTGATTTGAGATTACCACAGGGCTTGCAAATACTCTTACAATCTATTAAGTTGATAACAACTTAACACTACTTGCATAAACAAGCAAACTAAAAAGCAAAAAGAACACTAATAAAGACTTTCTCTTTATCTTTGTTCCCCTACTTTTTGTTCTTTTTTTTTTTTGTTTGAGACAGCATCTCACTCTGTATCTAGGCTGAAGTGAGGTGCATGGCGTGATCTCAGCTCACTGCCACCTCCGCCTCTGGGGCTCAAGCGATCCTCCCACTTCAGCCCCCAAAGTAGCCGGGACCACAGATGTGAGCCACCATGCCAGTTAATTTTTGTATATTTTGTAGAGATGGGGTTTCGCCATGTCATCCAGGCTGGTCTTGAATTCCTGAGCTCAAGCAATCTGCCTACCTCTGGCCTCCCAAAGTGCTTGGATTACAGGGGTGCCCTGTGGGATTATAGGCAGAAGCCACCATGTGAGGCCTTCCCCCACTTTTTAACTCTTGATGTTTCCATTTATATCTTACCGTACTGTCTATGTTTTGAAAAGTTGTTATGATTTT
This sequence comes from Homo sapiens, assembly GCF_000001405.40. Taxonomy (NCBI): domain Eukaryota; kingdom Metazoa; phylum Chordata; class Mammalia; order Primates; family Hominidae; genus Homo; species Homo sapiens. Next base: position 150,844,545 of record NC_000007.14, on the reverse strand, counting down.
TGATTGGTTCATATTTTGGTCTTTCTACTTAAAAGTAGTTTACACACCACAGTTACAGTGTTGTATTCTGTGTTTTTCTGTGTACTTACTAATACCCGTGAGTTTTGTATCTTTAGATAATTTCTTATTGCTCATTAACATCCTTTTCTTTCTGATTGAAGTACTCCCTTTAGCATTTTTTTGTAGGACAGGTCTGGTGTTGATGAAATTCCTCAGCTTTTGTTTGTCTGGGAAAGTATTTCTCCTTCATGTTTGAAGGATATTTTCACCAGATATATAATTCTAGAGTAAAAGTTTTTTCCTTCAGCACCTTAAATATGTCATGCCACTATCTCCTGGCTTGTAAGATTTCCACTAAAAAGTCTGCTGCCAAATGTATTGGACCTCCATTGTATGTTACTTGTTTTTTTTTTTTTTTTCTCTTGCTGCTTTTAGGATCATTTTTAAAAAAAATCCTTGCCCTTTGGGAGTGTGATTATTAAGTGCCTTGAAGTGGTCTTCTTTGGGTTCAATCTGCTTGGTGTTCTATAACCTTCTTGTACTCAGATCTTGATACTTTTCTCTAGTTTTGGGAAGTTCTCTGTTACTATCCCTTTGAATAAACTGTCTACCCCATCTCTTTCTCAACCTCCTCTTTAAGGCCAACAACTCTTAGATCTGCCCTTTTGAGGCTATTTTCTAGATCCTGTAGGTGTGCTTCATTAAAAAAAAATTTTTTTTGTCTCTTCTGGCGATATAATTTCAAATAGCCTGTCTATTCTCACTAATTCTTTCTTCTGCTTGAGCAGTTCTGCTATTAAGAGACTCTGACGCATTCTTCAGTATGTCAATTGAAATTTTCAACTCCAGAATTTCTGTTTGATTCTTTTCAATTATTTCAATCTCTGTTAAATTTTCTGACAGGATTCTGAATTCCTTCTCTGTGTTATCTTGAATTTCTTTGAGTATCTTCAAAACAGCTATTTTGAATTCTCTGTCTGAAAGGTCAGATATCTCTGTTTCTCCAGGTTGGTCCCTGGTGCCTTATTTAGTTCATTTGATGAGGTCTTGTTTTCCTGGATGGCTTTGATGCTTGTGGATGTTCGTCAGTGTTCGAGCATTAAAAAGTTAGGTATTTATTGCCATGTTTGCAGTCTGAGTTTGTTTGAGCCTGTCCTCCTTGGGAACAGTTTCCAGGTATTCAAAAGGACTTGGGTGCTATGATCTAAGCTGTATCTGCTTTAGTGGGCACCCCTAGCCCAGTAGCACCGTGGTTCTTGCACACTTGTAGAGGTATCACGTTGGTGGTCTTTGATAAGGTCCAGAAGAATTCTCCGGATTACCAAGCAGAGACTCTTTTTTCTTCCCTTACTTTCTCCCAAACAAATGGAGTCTCTCTCTCTGTGTTGAGCTGTCTGGAGCCAGGGGTAGAGTAACACAAGCACCCCTGTGGCCACCGCCACTGGGACTGTGCTGGGTCGGATATGGAGTATCAGCACAACACTGGGTCTTGCCCAAGGCCTGCTGTAACCACTACCTGGCTACTGCCTATTTGCTCAAGGCCCTAGGGCTCTACAATCAGCAAAGGTGGTGACGCCAGCCAGGCTTACATCCTTCCCTTCAGGTTGGTGAGGTCCCCTAGGTCCTGAGTGGGTCCAGGGATGCCATCTGGAGCCATGGATGGGAATCTAAAATCTTAGAAGTCTACCTGTTGTTCTATTCTACTGCAGCTGAGCTGGAACTCAAACCACAGGATGCAGTCCTTCTCATTCTTACATCCCATTCTCACAGGCAGAGGAGCCTCACCAGGCCCGTGGGGAGTACTGCCAGGCTACCACTGATGCTCAGTTAAGGACCAAAGGAACTTCAGTCAGCTTGTGGTGAATGTTGCCAGGCATAGGAACTCATCCTTCAAGACAATGGGCTCCCTTGGCCCATGGTGTGTCCAGAAATGTTGTCTGGGAGCTAGGGCCTGGAATGGGGGCCTCACAGCCTTTATCAGTGCCCTAACATACTGTGGCTGAGCTGGTATCCAAAATGCGAGACAAAATCCTCTTTACTCTTCCCTCTCCTCAAGCAGAAGGAAGGGGTCTCTTTTGGAGCTGTGTGCTGTGCTGCCTGGGGTTGGGGAAGGAGTGGTGCAAACACTTCCTTAGACACCACAGTTGGTGTCTCATGTGCCCCACCAGTTCACTAACTCCAAGCCCAGCTCAGCACTAGGTCTTGCCTAGGAATTGCAGTCCTTGTTGCGTAGACTGCTCCTCAAGTTCACTTAGGGTCCCAAAGCACTGCAGCCAATGGGGGTGAGGCTTGCTGGAACTCATGCTCTGACTGCTGGGCTGGGTGAGTACCCTCTGGCCAGGGCTGGTCCACATGTTCCCTCCGTGGTGTCAGCTGAGTATAGCTCAGTTTTGCTTTCCGCTGTGACATAGCAGCACTGAGTTCAATGCAAAGCCTCACAGTCATGGCATTCTCCCTCTCTCAAGTGTATATACAGATTCTCTGTGCCATGTAGCCACTGCCAGGGGATGGGGGAAGGGTGGCATCAGCAACTCAAGACTGTCCTTCTCACCCTCCTCAGTGCCTCTCTCAGGAATTTGAAGTCAAAACCAGGCACTGTGAGTGCTCACCTGATTTTTGGTTCCTATGAAAGTGCTCCTTTTGAGTAGATAGTTGTCAAACTTGGTGTTCTTGTGTAGGGGTGGGGATGTTTGGTGGAGTCCTTTATTCTGCCATCTTGCCCTGCCCCTAGGGTAAAGAAGTTAATTTTTTGGCCGGGTGCCGTGGCTCACGCCTGTAATCCCAGCACTTTGGGAGGCCGAGGCAGGCAGATCACGAGGTCATGAGATCGAGACCATCCTGGCTAACACGGTGAAACCCCGTCTCTACTAAAAATACAAAAAAAAATTAGCCAAGTGTGGTGGCGGGCGCCTGTAGTCCCACCTACTTGGGAGGCTGAGGCAGGAGAATGGCATGAACCCGGGAGGCAGAGCTTGCAGTGAGCAGAGATTGCGCCACTGCACTCCAGCCTGGGCGACAGAGCAAGACTCTGTCTCAAAAAAAAAAAAAAAAAAAAAGTTAATTTTTTAAACCTCACTCAGTTTTCTCATTTGTGAAACAGGCACAATAATGGATATGAAGGTGTGACAAAATTGTTGGCATCAGATGAGGTAAAAGGTATGTAAAGCACCTAACTAATGTTTTTGACACATAGAAATCACTCAATAAATGTTAGCTATGATGATGATGATCATGGTTAGCTATGATGATGATGATGGTTACAGTTGGGGAGGTATGAATGCGGGTAATACAGAGGACTCCAGGGGCCCTGAGATGTGGTGAGTGTGTGTGAGGGCTCCTTGACTTTTCCCCTTCCCCTGCTCCATAAGATCAGAGAGTTGATTTAGTTCATGTCTGTCTTGTTTAGTTCACGTCTGTCTTGTTTAGTTCACGTCTGTCTTGTTTAGTTCACATCTGTCTTAGTAACAAGCCAGTTTCCCTAAAGGCTTTTCATTCACCCCCCTCTCTTTTCAAAACTCTTATTTTTCTTTCTAAGTGTTATTTTCCCTCTGCATGTGAGTAAGTTGTTGGCCATCTCAGGAATCAAAACTTCCAGAACCAGCTGGCTTTGTAACCAGCCCGGGGCTTGGACCTGCTCACTCACCAAGGTGGTATCTTCCAGCCACCTTTACTGATGAGGTGGCCCTGTCAATCTGTAATTTATCACAGATACCACTGGTAAGAAATTAACCCAAAAGCATAATGAACCTAGGAAGTCGAAGCCGAAGTGAGCTGTGATTGCGCCACTGCACTCCAGCCTGGGCAACAGAGCGAGACCCTGTCTCAAAACAACAACCACCACCACCACCACCACCACAACAACAACAAACAAAGACTGCACAATTTCCTTCAAGATATAGCAATTGGCTCCTTGTCAGTATCTAACTGGTTTTGAAGTTCTTCCTGTTCTAATTCCTAAATAGCTCTGGATTTCTTTCCAGCCTCACGGTCTTTGCTATCATTGTCTACATCAAGGATTTTTAACCTTGGCACCATTGATAGTTTGAGCCTGATCATGCTCACGGGCCTGTCCTGTGTGTAGTAGGACGTCTAGCAGCATCTCTGGCCTCAACCCACTAGAGGCCAAAAGCAGCCACCGCCCTATCAGGACAACCAAAAATGTCTTCAGACATTACCAGTCATTTCCTGGGAGGCAAAACTGCTGCCCTGCTGAGAACTTCTGGTCTACATTTAAGCCCTTGTGATTTGGCCTGAAAACTGCAATTGCCTCCAGACGCCCTGACTCTCCTCCTGAGCACCTCCAATCTGCCCTTCATGCTTTTGCTGGAAGATAGATCTGACCATGTCCCCTTCCTCCCTCTGGTGGGTTCCAGTTGCCTATTGGATAAAATATAAACTATTTAATTTGGCATTAAAAACCTTTTACAGCCTAGCCCCAATCTTCCTTTTGTTCTTGGTACACTAATGCTGCCTCACCCTGTGCTTGAGCTATTTCAAATCATGCCAGGTTCACTGGGGCCACCTGGCCTTTGCCGGCTTTGTTCCCTTTCTGCAAGCCTTTCTGTCTTCTTATTTTGGGAGCAAGCTCTTGCTTCAAGGCTCAGCACCAACTACCCCCTACCCCTGCTGTCCCCACCCTCTTTACATCTTCCACATAGCTGGCTTGTCCTCTCTGGTTCCAGGGCACTTGCCCATCTCCCTCATTGCATGTGTCATATGGCTTTATAACTATTTGTTCACAAGTCTGTCTCTTATACGGCTTCCTTGAGGTCAGGGATTCTGTCTTAATTTATTCAGAACCACAGAGACCAACACAGCGCATGGGATACAGTGGCTGCTCATTTTTGGGTTTTGGAGTGAATTAATAAACAGATGACATGGACAAGGAAGATGGAAGAGGTGTTAGGTACCTAGACGTCAGAAAACTTTTAATTTCCCTGTGGCATTTTAAGAAAAAAACATGCTAGGTAACCTGGTTTCAAAGGATGCTATTAACTCTCAACTCAAGGGAAGAGTCTTTATACAACATCGCAGGCTCCTTAGGCCAAGGCCAAGGACAACTGGGAGTGGTCTGAGTCAGCACCGGCTCCTGGCCATGCGGCTGTGCAGTCTCCCACGTCTCACACTCAGAAGGGCTCTCTACTTGGCTTAACGCTCCGCTGCTGTCTTTAGATTCTTAACTTTTGAACAAGGGGCCCCACATTTTCACTTTATACTGGGCTTTGCAATTTATGTAGCTGGTACTGGCTTGGGTTGAGAAGGTTGGGGAGGGAGGACAGGGCAGTGGGCAGTGAACTAGCCCTTGCAGGGAATGAAGTTAGATGAATAGGTTGATAGGATGAGAGCTGCTAGGCCAGGTATCAGCAGGCATCAGGAAGAGAGGCCCCAGGCAGACTGGTGGCAGCAGCAAAAATGTAACAGGTAACTGAGGCCAAAGTCTTGGATGCTGGTTCTGAGCTTAGCCCTTGCTGGCTCCAATTCCTTCCTGTTATGATTTTCTCTTTTAGTCCCCTTCCTCTTCTACAGCTCCCCATTGGCAGAAGGAAGGAGTGCTAGACAGGGGGTAATTTCTTTAAAACCAAATGCCCCTTTGCAGTGACACCGCACCTGGGTCTGGAGGGAGGTTGAGGACTGAAGAAACAAAATTGAAAGGGCTGGTTGACATTTGCACCTATGTGAGCACCAGAGGAAGCCTTCAGGCTATTTGAAAATGCACCTTCAGGCTGCAACCAGTAACATGAAAAATCAGGAGAGCCTGGCAGCTTCTTACCACTAGAATTGTACCCCAGGGGCTCTTTCTCCAGCTTAGGGACTTATTTTTTCATTAAAGGTGGTAGGATTTTATAAATAGCAAGGAAAAAAAACCCGTGGTATTAGCATACATTATCTACCAGAGTAGAGGGATGGATGAGGCCCAGGCAAGTAGTTAGGTCAGTAGCCAGCCCCAGAATTGGGGTCTTAGGGCTGGGAGGGGCTGGGCTTGGAGAACATCATGAGATGAAGCTTTGAGAGCTGCAAGCCAGGTTCCAGCCTTGCTCTCCATTTGATTTGTGCCCCACTAGGATTTGGTAAAGTTTGGCTTTACAAGTTTCAGTCTGTGTGAACTGTGCTAAGGAGAAATGAAGCTGTGCCCTGTGTCCATGTTAATGGAAGGCAGGCCTTGCAGGCAGGTGACACTCAGGGGGACACATGGAGGCCATGGTCAGTTATTCTCTGCAGTTAGGAGGGTCCCTTTCACATTAACTTGAGAAATTCTGGGTTTGGCTAAGGAATGAAGAACAATGATCACGCCTGCCATCCACTGATGGCCCTGGCACTCCTGTGCTGGGGACTTGTTCAATCCTAGAGATGACTCTGCACAGTAGGCATCGTTCCTACGACACAAAAGTTGCACAGCTAGTAAATGGCACAGCCAGGATTTGAACTTGGGTTTTTCTGGCCCCCAAACCTGCAGCAATCTCACGAAGGGCATGGCATCCCTGTGTAGGTAGCATCAAGACCTACAAGGGGCATTTCTTTCAAACAGTTGTGGGGGCAAATGAGAACTTTTCTCTGCTAATGAATTATGTCCCGAGCCCTCAACTTTCTCTGCACCCTTCACTGCCATAGGCAGCCCTTCTAAATCTGCTCCTGGAAAAGGGCTTTTGTGTCTATGCTAGGATGTGTGTTTGAGAAAAAAGACTCACTGTGTCAGGGAGCATGCCATGCTTACGTGTGTGTTCGTGTAAATTTTTTTTTTTTTTTTTTTTGCGATGGAGTCTGTTACCCAGGCTGGAGTACAGTGGCGCCATCTCAGCTCACTGCAACCTCTGCCTCCCGGGTTCAAACTATTCTCCTGCCTCAGCCTCTTGAGTAACTGGGATTACAGGCATGCACCACCACACCCAGCCGATTTTTGTATTTTTAGTAGAGATGGGGTTTCACCATGTTGGCCATGCTGGTCTCGAACTCCTGGCCTCAAGTGATCCTCTCACCTCAGCCTCCCAAAGTGTCAGGATTACAGGCGTGAGCCACCGCACCTGGCCCATGCAAATATTTTTACATAACTTTAAAAATCTTCAAACAACTATTAGACCCTGAGTATATCTTTTACCATCTCAATGGCATTATAACTTATTCTAGAAGTGAGGGCTCCAGTATGATAAATTAGCTTTTTGTGGGGCTTAAAAATGTTTTGCACCCCAATAGTTGTGCTATCTCTGATTTGAAGCCATTGGAACCTGTCCTGTATAAATGCCAATTCTATGCACTGGAAGTCTCTTCTTAAAGCTTAGACCCCACTTTCTACCCAGTGGCCCCAGCATGTGATGGGTTTGATGAGCCCTCAAGCCCTGGAGAAGTTTATTTGATGAAGGGCACCCCAGGCCCACTCTGAGCAGGCTCAAAACCACAGAGAGGAAAACTGAGATAGTGTATCTGATTGTACTTATGGAGCTCATACAGAGGAGTGACTGTGACCACCATGCCAACATACACTGCACTGCTCCAGATACAGACCCCGTTTTAAATGCTTTATGAGCATTATCTCATTCCACCTTCCCAACAATCCTCTGAGAAAGGCGTTTTTCAAACGAGAAACCCATCTCTGAAACATCCTGAACAATTACATCCCTGTAATTGTTCTTTGTCTGCACCAAGTCCTGGGCCAGCTGCACCCAGAGTCTCTGGAGAAGAACCCTGTTTTCTACAGCATAGGTGTCTTGACTAAGCCCTTGCTCCATCTCCTTAGTAAGTGATTTTCCAGCACCCTCAGGATACAAAGCCAATGAGGGTTCGAGCTACCTAAGAACAGTGAGCCTTATGCCCAATTTGAGAAGGAAGAGGTTTTATTCTCTCATGGGTAGGGTCCTGGGGTAGTGGAGCAGCTTGTGCTGTGTCTGATCCCCATTTTGGATGTGAGTCTCCAGCAGGAGAGCTTCTTGCCTCTTGGGGTTTAATGGCACACTGGAAGGAAACCCTGGTGGCTTTGGACACTGAGGAGGTTCCTCACTCAAGCTGGTCTGCTGGACTTCCACCAGGTCACCTGAGGGACGGTGTTGACTGCACAGTGCAGGAGAAGAATGGACATTGCCCAGCATGAGCATCTAAGTGCCTTAGCAGGTTGTCATTGTTATGGACGTGATTCAAGGCTTCTCTTGAGTGACAGAAGGAGCTGATGAGCTGGTGTTGGCTTAGGAGATTTGTGAGCACTCAGGGTAGAAAGGCCTCTGCCACGGGGCTCCAAAACTTTCCACAGAAGCAGGGTCTTGGCTAGGCTGTGCCTCTGGGTTATTAGGTCAGCTCATCCCACTTAGGTTCCTGTGCCACCAATGTCTCCCTGAGTTTCACTGATCCCTGGGCTTTTCTGTTGCTCTGGGAATGGGCCATGATGCTGCTTCTCCTGGTTTTTCCTGTCTGTGACTGATGTGGGCACAGGATGCCCAGAGGCGTGAACTCCACAACATTCCTGGGTCTCACAAGCATCCAACTGCCTGCTTTGTCCTGAGTCCTTCACTGTGTCCCTGTTCTATAAAGGTTTTGTTTTCTAAGGGAGGCAGCCACAGCCTGGAAGCCCTTCTCCGGATTTCACTGCCTGGGAGGTGCTGACTGAAGGGAGTCATGCAGATCCTAAGGAACCTCAGTGGAGGCCCCGTGGAGCCCCTGCAAAGCCCCCAAAGACCCATGCCCTGGACCAGAGCCATTGTGGGGTGTTCTCCCCGCTGGCTGCATGTTGGAATCACCCAGGCAGTGTTCCTAACTATTGGTGCCCAGAGGTCCCACCTCCGGATTCTGATTTAGATAGGGGGGCCTGGGTTTGTAGGGGGTGGGGTTAAAAGCTCCCCAGTTGATTCCGAGGTGCAGGCAAGACTCAGAGCCATTCATGGAGCAGCTCCATTGATAAAAAAGAACTCAATGCAGGCACTGATGGTGCTCAGAGAAATCTGCTTTGCTTTTTTTTTTTTCATCTTTTTTTTTTTTTTACTTGACATAACTTGTATGTTTTTCTTGGGTGAAACATGATGTTTTGATATACATATACATTGTAGAGTGGTTAAATTTAGCTAATTAACAAATGCATTACTTCATATAAGTTATCGCTCTTGTGGTAAGAGCACTTAATGTCCATTTTCTACATTTTTCAAGAAGAGAATATATTGTCATTAACTATAATCACCTTGCTATACAACAGATCTCTTGAAATTTATTCCTCCTAACTAGCTGTAATTATGTATCCTTTGACCAACATCTCCCCATCTCCCCACTCCTTTCTAACCAGCCTAGCTTCTACTTCTTTGAGTTCAGGTTTTTTTAGATTCCACATGAATCTTGATGAGTGAGATCATGCGGTATTTATCTTTCTGTGCCTGGCTTATTTCACTTACAGAATGTCCTCCAAGTTCATCCTGTTATCACAAATGGCAGATTTCATTCTTTTTTATGGATAAGTGGTATTCCATGTGTATATATACAACTCATTTTTTTAAATCCATTTGTCCTTTGATGGACATTTAGGTTGATACCATATTTTGGTTATTGTGCATAGTGCTGTAATAAACATGGGAGTGCAGATATCTCTTCAACATACTGATTTCAATTCCTTTGAATATATACCCAGTAGTGGGGTTGCTGGATCATATTGTAGTTCTGTTTTTAATTTTTTGAGGAACCTCTATACTGTTTTCCATAATGGCTGTACTAATTTGCATTCCCAGCAACAATATATAAATGTTCCCTTTTCTCCACAGCTTTGATGGCAAGTGTTATCTTTTGTCTTTTTGATAATAGCCATAATAATGAGGTGATATCTCCTTGTGGTTTTTTATTTGCATTTTCCTGATGATTAGTGATGTTGAGCTTTTCTTCATACACCTGTTGGCCATTTGTCTGTCTTCTTTTGCAAAATGTCTACTCAAGTCTTTTGCCAATTTTTCACTGGGTTATTATTATTATTATTATTATTATTATTATTATTTTGCTATTGAGTTGTTTGGTTTCCTTATATATTTTGGATATTAACTGCTTGTCAGATGTATAGTTTGCAAATATTTTCTCCCACTATTTAGGTTGTCTTTTTTGCTCTGTTGGTTGTTTCCTTTGTTGTGCAGAAGCTTTTTAGTAAATTTTTAGAAATTTGATGTAATTTCATTTGGCTCTTTTTGCTTTTGTTATCCATGCTTTTAACGTTTTATAAAAAAATTATTGCCCAGACCAGTGTCGTGGAGTTTTCCCCCTATGTCTTCTTCTAGTAGTTTAATAGTTTTGGGTCTTGGATTTAAGTCTTTAATCTATTTTGAGTTGAACATGGTGAGATATAAGGGGGTAATTTCATTTTTCTGTTTGTGGATATCCAGTTTTTCTAACACCATTCTATTGAAGCAATTGTCCTTTTTCCACTGTGCTATCTTCGCACTGCTGTTGAAAATCAGGTGGCTATGAAGGTGTAGATTTATTTCTGGGCTCTCTATCCTGTTCCATTGGTTTATGCATCTGTTTTTATGCCAGTACCACGCTGTTTTAGTTACTATTGCTTTGTATTATACTTTGAGGTCAGGAAGTTTGATGCCTCTAGCTTTGTTCTTTTTGCTTATTTCAGCTTTTTGGGTTTCTTTTTTGTGTGTGTTTCCATACAAATTCCAGGAATACTTTTGTTATTTCTGCGAAGAATGTCATTGGTGTTGTGATATGCCTTACTTTTAAAAGTTAAACAGCAAATTCTCATTAAGTTCAATTTTTTTTTCATTTTAAAAATACTTGGTTCTAAGGAGCTGAAATTTCCACTCATTACTCTTGTTGATGGAGCAGCCTGGTCAGGATCAAGTATCACCAGCACCTAGTGAGGCGCTGTCATGGGCTGAACTGTGTCCCCCAAAATGCATATGTTGAAGTCGTACCCCTAGTACCTCAGAATGTGACTATATTTGGAAATAGGGTCTATAAAGAAGTAATTAAGTTAAGATGAGGTCATTAGATGAGTCTTAATCCAATATGTCTGGTGTCTTTATGAGAAGAGGTAATTGGAACACAAACACACACAGAGGGATGACCATGTGATGAGGAGAACACAGGCAGAACACAGACATCCGTGAGCCTAGGAGAGGTCTCAGAGGGAACCAACCTTGCAGATGCCTTGGGCTCAGGCTTCCAGCGTCCAGAACTGTGATAAATAAATGTGTGCGTTTCAGCCTCCCAGTTGTGGTACTTTGCTATGGCAGCTCTAGCAAACAAATATGGGCACCAACCAAACAACCAACTATCATAGTCACATGGAATCAAGGCTCAGGTGAAAGGACCTGACAGGGATCTAGGAGGAAGGGGAAGGGGGAGCAGGTAGGTCTTCACTTGAATCTCTGCACCTCCCTACCACACTGCCCAGTCCAGTGCCTGGGCTTTGGGTTGTAATTCACCATCTCATTTGCTGCCTTTGCTGCCTCTGAGAGTTGAGCTAAGCAAACACTTAACTAGGCAGGATGAGCAGGTGAAGGATGAGGGTCTACATGACCACCCAGTCTGGACTCTTGGGACCTTCCCAGTTGGCAGGTTCAGGAGTTTTCTTCAATATAGCTTTTCCTTCAGTCCACCTTGGTCACATTGAAGCCTGTAAAAAACTAGTCCTGTGGCTGGGCGTGGTGGCTCATGCCTGTAATCCTAGCACTTTGGGAGACTGAGGCAGGCGGATCACGAGGTCAGGAGTTCCAGACCAGACTGCTAACATGATGAAACCCTGTCTCTACTAAAAATACAAAAATTAGCCGGGCGTGGTGGTGCGTGCCTGTAATCCAGCTACTCAGGAGGCTGAGGCAGGAGAATTACTTGAACCCGGGAGGATGATGTGGCAGTGAGCCAAGATTGAGCCACTGCACTCCGGCCTGGGTGACAGAGCGAGACTCCATTTCAAAAACAAAACAAAACAAACAAACAAACAACTAGGCTTGTTGGACCAAGAAATCTAATTATTGGTGTTTTTCCACTTGTGGGAAAAATGTGCCTAATGCATTTGTATGTCAGTCTACTTATTTGTTTATCTATCTATCACTAGTGAAAAGATCACACAAAAATATTAACAGTGGTTATCTCTGGGGTGTGAAATTATGGGTAATTTTTGTCTTTTTGTTATACTTTTCCATTTTTCCCAGCTTTCTCCAATGGGCATGTATTTATTTTTATAATCATAAAAAAGCAATAAAAAAGTCTATAACCAAAATATAGTGTTCGAGAAGCTCAAGTTCTTGATGAATAGTGTACTCTGAAAAAAGGCATATAATATATGGCAAAGACAAGGAGAAATTCCATCAAAATATTCTTCTTCGTTGTTGCTGGATTGTTAACCTCTTTAGGCTCCAGATTAGCTCAGAATGAGAACATTTAGCAATCTCAAGGTCTATGTTGGAGCCAGTTTCACAGTGAAGCAAAGCCCCTACCCCAGGGCACAGCAAAGTCTTTGTGCTGAGAGGAAAACAATGGCACATATGTCCCAGAGAAAGAGGCAGCTCATAATTCTTTTCCCTGGCAGCCTATTAAAGCTTCTCAGACATTGGACTAAATTCTGTCCTTCCTCCAAGAAGAAGTGGACTTCTGTGTCCTTGAATAAAACTCAAAATAAGTTATGGATATAAGCCAGCAGCTCTTCTCATGGATTGCAGAGCCAAGAGTCACTACTTGTCTGTCCTCCACATTCAGGTCAGTTTTCAGAAAAAGGAGATTTCTCACTCCAACGAGAATGCAAAGAATCCAAGGCGGCCATTGTGTCATTATTTAACAAGTTCCTTCATCCATTTATGCCCCAGTTGAATCAGATGCAGATTCTGTGCCCGGCACTGTGCTAAGTGCTTCACGTGTATATTTTATTCACTCCTCACAATGACCCTGTGAGGGTCATCAGATTACATATGAAGAAGTGAGAACCGGCTGGGCGCGGTGGCTCACGCCTGTAATCCCAGCACTTTGGGAGGCCGAGGCAGGCAGATCAGGAGGTCAGGAGATCAAGACCATCCTGGCTAATATGGTGAAACCCTGTCTCTACTAAAAACACAAAAAAACTAGCCGAGCATGGTGGCGGGCGCCTGTAGTCCCAGCTACTCGGGAGGCTGAGGCAGGAGAATGGCGTGAACCCGGGGGTGGAGCCTGCAGTGAGCCGAGACTGTGCCACTGCACTCCATCCTGGGCAACAGAGTGAGAATCCATCTCAAAAAGAAAAAAAAAAAAAAAAGAAATGAGAACCAAGATCTCAACCCACCCTGGCAGTGCTTTCAGAGCTGCACAGCCCTACCACACTATACTGCCCTTGCTGTGCAGACACAGATATGAAATGCCCTGGCTGTGCCCTGGGGGGCATGAACTAGAGTGAGTAGAGTCAGATGTCCTCAAGTAAGGGTCAAGTAAACAAGTAAGGGTCATAAAAGGGCCAGGTGCAGAGAGCGAGGTATGTACAGGGCATGGAGGAGGGAGTGGTCCAGTCACCCAGGGTGGGGCAGTGGTTTGGGAAATGTTTCCCAGAGCAGGTGGCCTTTGTACTGGGTATAATGAGGCTGACAAGGGTGACTGATTCTTTGTGAGGGGAACAGATGCTAGTGGTGAGGTTATTACAGGCCAAAGGAGCAACCTCAGCAGCAGGTTGGGAAGCACAAAGATTGACCCCCACTCTCAGCATTGGACATATATCATCTAGGCAGAAAGTCAACAAAGAGACATTAGATTTAAACTGCACTATAGACAAAGGGACCTAACAATTTGCAGAACATTCTATCCAACAACTACAGAATATACATTCTTCTCATCAGCACGTGGTACATTCTCCAGGATAGACCACATGTTAGGCTTCAAAATAAGCCTCAACAAATTTCCCAAAATCATATCAATTATCTTCTTAGAGCACAATGGAATAAAATTAGAAATCAATACAAGGAGGGAACATTGGAAACTACACAAATACATGGAAATTAGACAACATGTTCCTGAATGACCATTGGGTCAATAAGAAATTAAGATGGAAATAAAAACAGTTCCGTGAAAGAAATGAAAATGGAAACACAACATACCAAAACCTGTGAGAAAAGTAAAAGCAGTGCTAAGAGGGAAATTTATAGCAATAAATTGTTCCATCAAAAAGTAGAAACATTAAAATTAACAATCTAACAATGCAAGGTGAAGGGGCAAGTGAGCAAGAAGTGAGATAAGAAGTAGAGGTTGAGCAGCCAAAACAAAAGTGAGATTAGCTGGGCGTGGTGGTGGGTGCCTGTAATCCCAGCTACTCTGGAGGCTGAGGCAGGGGAATTGCTTGAACCAGGGAGGTGGAAGTTGCAGTGAGCCAAGATCGTGCCACTGCACTCCAGCCTGGGGGACAGAGCAAGACTCTGTCTCAAAAAAAAAAAAACAAAAAAAAAGATAATACACCATGATTAAGTGAGATTTATGCCAGGGATGGAAAGATGGTTCAACATATACAAATCAATAAATGGGATACATCACATCAACAGAATGAAGGACAAAACCATATGATCATCTCAATAAATGCAGAAACAGTATTTGATAAAATTTCTGATAAAAATTTTTGATAAAAATTGATACAATTTACATAAAAACTCTCAACAAACTAGCTATAAAAGGAACATACTTAAAATAACAAAGACCATATATGACAAGCCTATATGAATGAAACATGTCATTTGCAGCAACATGGATGGAACTGGAGGCCATTATCTTAAGTGAAATAAGTCAGGCACAAAAAGGCAAATATCACACATTCTCACTTATATGTGGGAGCTAAAAAATTTGATCATATGGAGGTAGAGAGTGGAAAGATAGAGAACAGAGATGGAGGTAGAGAGTGGAAAGATAAAGAACAGAGACTGGGAAGTGTGAGTCTGGGGAAAGGGGGAGGATGAAGATGAGGCAGGACAGTTAGTCAAGGAAGTTACTATGCCCTTGGGATTTGGCAACCTTGGTGACCTCATAGTCACCACAATAAGCCCCAGCATTCGCACTGCAGTCAAGCTCATTCAGCAAAGCTGTCTCCAGTAGGGAATTTCCCCTGTAGAGAGCATGCACATTTTGATTTTACCTGTCCTCAGACTGACCCTTTGCTCAATATAATAATAAAAAACACCCCTGGTTGGAGATTTAGGGTGCTAATGACACATGCAATGTATGAACAAGCATGTACAGGTACTGCACATGTGCACCCATCCCAGAACATGCTTCCTAGCAACACAGTTTCCCACCCCCTCATGAATAATCAGGTAAGCCTTCGATAAAGGGAGTCTCCCTCAAGTGGGTCTTTGCTATCTCATCCTCATAGGCAGCCCACCCTGAATCCCTCTTGGGGCATCCTGTCTATTCTGCACCTAACTTTCAGGGTATTCTTCCTCCTTTGCAATAAATTGCTCTACACTGCATCTCCTTTGCTGTGTGTCTCCTGTTTAAATTCCTTTAAACTAGGAACACAAGAACTGAGGTTTCACAGCAGCCATCAACAAAGAGAAGTGGGTTAAAGCATATAAATATACAGTTAGATAGAAGGAATAAATTCAATGTTTGATAGCAGAGGAGGGTGACCATACTTAACAAAATGTATTGTACTTGGGTGATGGACACCTGGAATACCCTGGCTTGATCACTATACATTACACATAAGTAACAAGTTTTCTCATGTACCCCATAGATTTGTACAAAAACAAAAAAGCACAAAAACTGGAAGCAGTCTGGAGTCTGTCAACAGGAGAATGGATGAATAAGGGAACTATCTGATTGTGGCCTATTTGATGGAATATTACTCTGCAATCAAAAGGAACAGACTGAGACTGATACACGCAGCATGGATGAGTCTTCAGGACATTGTGTCAAGTAAGAGAAGTCAGATTCAAAAGATGAAGTCCTTTCCTGAGCACTTACTACATGCCAGACACCATACCAGGTATTTGCAAGATAACGCCATCTATAGGAAGTTCTGAAGAGGCAAAAAGAACAGTGGCTGGCTCTAGGGGGTGAGGGTGAGACTGGGACAGACTGGGAAGGGGCATGAGAATGTTCTGGGGGTGATGGTAAGGCTATCTTGCTGGGAGTTTGAGTCACACAAATGTATGCATTTGTAAAAACTCATTAGATGTGCATGTGGTAGGCTGAATAATTGCTCTCCAAGAGGGTCACATCCTGATTCCTGGAAGCTGTGAATATGTTGTTTCACATGGCAAAAAGGACTCTGCAGATGCGATTAAACTAAGAATCTTGAGATGGGAGATTATCCTGCGTTATCCATGTGGAACTGATGTAATCACAGTCTTTATAAGAAGAAGGCAGGGGATCAGAGTGAGTAGGAGAGGTAACTATGAAAGCAAGAGGTTGGTGATGTGAGGAAGGGGTCATGAGCCAAGGAATGCTTTCGAAGGTGAAAAAGGCAAGGAAACAGATTGTCCCTTCAGAGATACCAGAAGAAGCCAGCCCTGATTACACCTTGACTTTGGCCCAGCCAGACTGATTTTGGACTTCCAAGAGAATAAATGTATGTCATTTAAAGACACTAAGTATGTGGTGATTTGTTACCATAGCAAGGATACTAATACACTGCCTCTAATATTTGTGCATTTCGTTGTATGTTAATTTTACATACAATGGGAAAAAATTTCATTGTATGTTAATTTTACATACGAAAGAAAAAAAGAACTGGAAACAAATTTGGAACTCTAGTTAATAATATGCATGCTGAAGCATTTAGGGGTAAGTATGCAGATATCTACTACTTACTTTGAAATGCACAAAAATGGGATGGATAAATGAATTGATACATGATAAAGCAAATACAGGAAAATATTAATTTTAGTGTCTAGATAGAGAAGTATTCACTTGTAAATTTTTAAAATTTTATTTTTGAAAATTTTCATAGTAAAATGTTGAAGGGAAAAAGGCAGAGGCTTGATCCTCGATGGTGTTTAGGAATTGTGAGTAGTTCTGCAAAGTTAGGTTGTCTGTACTGGGGTAAGAGTAGTTGGCTCAGCCAGTCAGAATGCTGGAGGAGTAGGGAAGGAGATGTGGAGGGAATATAGACTTTATCCTGAAGGCAACGAGGAGCCAGTGCAATGCTTTAAACAGGGAGGTACAGAACAGGATTTGCGTTTTCAACTCTCACTGCACAAGTCATACCTCCGACTGAATTCTTTGAACAGCTGCTTACTTGATTTGAATGCAGGTCATTCGAAGAGAAGTTAGGGCTTTAGTCCTTTACAATTCAGCTTTAGTCAAAGGGGTTCCTCTCTCTGTGTTTGCCTCATCATTGGTAGTAGGGGACAAACCTGGAGGTTCTCTCATCAACAGGTACAGATTTGAAAGCTGAAAGTTTGTAGGAAAAGGGCAGTTAATTCTGGTCTCATCTTTAAGGCTTACCTGTTCTTGGGGGTAAACTACATGAAGGACAAAAATATAAAATCTTTTTATAGAACAAGTAACTGAGGTGAACCGGGAGTCAGAAAGTCTGGATTCAAATCTCAGTTATGACATTTTCTAGCTGTGTGGCCTTGGACAAATTCTGAACTTCTCTGAGCCTTAGTTTCCTAGTTCAAAAATGGGGAAAACACTAGTCAGGGCCTCATAGGGTTGCTGTGAGGATTCTAATAAATGAAGTCAAAGTATTCACCATGAAGTACCTCGTATATTGCCTGCCATGTAGTCAGTACTCAAGAAATGTTCAGCATTTTCATTATTGTTCAATGACCTACTTCTCAACCGAAAGCACGGAAGCAGAAGCTTAGCATACTCCTTGCTTATACCATTCCTCCCCTATCATGAAAATGATGATCAACTGCATGCCTTTAGTCTAGACAATTCTGAGCTTCAGACCCATATCCCCATTTTCCTCATGGGCATTTTTCCTTGCCTAGACCACAGGTACCTCAAACTCAACAAATTCCAGGAAGAACATATTGCCCCTCCCTTATCATGGGAATGCCACCATAAACCCACGAATGCTCCAGCCAGGCATGTGAGAGTCCTGCCAGACTCGTATTTCTTCCCCTCCCAGTCACACCCAATGCCCCAGCAAGTTCTATTTCCTGAGAATTCCTTCACCTATCTCCTGCATTCCATTTCCTCCTGTATTATTTTGGATTGTGCTTTTGCTATGTTTTACCTAAATTCCTGCAGTAGACTCCTACTGGCTTTCCTGCTCCCAAACTTGTCTCCTCCAAATTTAGCCTGTCTGCCTCTGCTAGAATGACCTTTCCACAGTGGGAATCTGGCCATTTGCCACCCTGCCAAAGTCCTCCAGAGGCTGCCTACTGGGACATGTTGGCTTCTGTGTACCTCTAGGGTCTGACCTCTCATCAGTCTCAGCAATGCCAGCCTACCTAGGCTCCTATCTCGGCACACACCCCTTGCCTGGAACACTCTGCCCCTTCCGACCTTTGCCTGGCTGCTGCTGACTCTCTGATGCCTCCCTTGATCATCTTCCTCTCTCCGCCATGCCCCTACCTGGAGCTGACCTCCATCATAGCCCTGGCCTCCCAAGATATCCACAGACTGTAACCTGTGCCTCTTATCTCTGCATGGCCAGTGCTTAGCACACTAGCTGGCAATTGTAGGTACTCTCTGGTGAATGCAGTTGATTCTAGGATCAAAGGAGAGTAAAGTTGAAGAAAAAGAAAAGTCAGTTAGGGTTCTGCTAGGAAATGGCATTCTCAGAAGGAGGAATATCGAGTTTAAAAAAGGGACTATTTACAAAGATGAGGCAGGGGCAAGGACATCACCAGAGGAGGTGAAGCACCTTGAAGCTAAGCGTAGTTGGAGGCCATTTTCACCCCTAGGTAGGTGAGAAGAGGCAAGGAGAGGGCATGGCTAATAGATCGGGGGAGACTTGCAGGACACAGTCACCTGACCAAATCGGTGGCTTTTGGCAGAACAGTGCTAAGCCAGGCTGTGATCTGGCACAGAGGAAGCCAGGGGAACAGATACTTCGATCTCATTCCTTTCTTTTGTTTTTGTCTTCAGGGCTGGCTACATACTCTGTTGGGAAGAAGGCTCAAAAATGAATCCTCTCAAGCAGACCCGCTTTGGTTTCCACCCCTCTATTCTGAGAACCCAAGCTCAACCCATGTGTTCTGCCTTCAGGTAGAAAATGTCAGAATCATAGGGAAGACTAAGCTGAAAAAAGAATTTGGAGTTCCAAAGGAATTCTGTGCCACCTGCCGTCCGGCAATTCCCTTTGCCAGGTAATGGCATGACAGTAAAGACGCACTCTGTTCTGAATAAGCAGAGAACCGGCTTGGCCTAGGACTTACGTTGAGGTGGGTAATGTTCGAAAAGACCCATTTGCTAGGGCATCTCAGGGAAGGCACAGAAGCCTTTGCAGGCGAGGCTGCAGAGAGAAGAAAACGCACGGGAGACAGTCCTGATTCCAAGGGGTTACAATTGGTTGGGGAGGCAAGGCAGCCACAAAGAAAGCACAGCATGTTTGGGCCAGGTGGGTGCTTCCTTAGGACAGCACTGCCTGTTTGGGAAACAGTTGTAGAAACAGATGGGACAATCCTTGTCCATCGAGATGGGGTCAGAGTGACTGCACGAAAATATGGCTACCCCGAGTTACCATGGCTACCAACACTTGCCCTCCTTCCATGCCTACCAGGCAGGGTGGAGGAGCTTGTTCTTTCTGCAGCCTGACCCAGGAGAGGAGGTAAAGCAGAGGGCTCCCAGAGGCCGCCCTTGTAGGTCCTAGCGCAGCAGGGTGACGCTGGGCCAGGAGGGCCCCGGGAGTGGGGTGGGGGAGGGCCACTGGGTGGAGGTGCCCTTCAGGGCTGCATCTCGTGGCGCCGGCTCCAGTTTCACTTCGGCTCCTGACCCTCAATTCCCGTCTGCGGCCCGGGGACCTCGGCCTTCTCCCCAGCCACCTTGCTGGCTGGCCCTGTCTTCCCAAGGTCAAGTTAAAGAACCAAGGTGTGTAAGGTCATGTCTTCCCAGTCAGGGGGCCGCCATATCTTGGTATCCAATGGACAACCTGCCTGCCGCTCACTCTCTAAAAGCCAATGATGAGGGAGCTATGTGCTAAGCCCCGCCTCCCCACCCCATGAATGTGCACAGCACCACCTCGTGTCCCAGTAGCGCAGCTTTGGGGAGTTTGGAAACACTCCTGGTTTGGGATTCACTCAGCAAATATTTAATGTGTGTGTGCTGTGGCCAGGTAAAATGCCAGGTACTATCTTCCTCTACATGGCAGGGACAGACATGTGTTCCTCAAGCTCACTGGGGATAGCACCACCTTTCTAAAGTTCCTCTCATCTGTTGCCCGGCCTCCAAACCCGGTGGTCCTTTATTAATTCAGCTGTGGCATGGGCGTTCATACTCTCAGCTTCCTTTACTGCGTTTCCTACTGTTTCTGGCTTCAAGTTGTTGAAGTCAAAATAAAAAAGTAGAGACTGAGCTCTAAATTTAACCGTTTATTTGGGAAGAAAGGATTGCCACTTGGGACACACATGCACACCGTAAGAACAAAGAGAAGGCTGGAGGTTTTACCGAATGTTACCCATTGCTCTTTGAGAAAGTTCATTGGCACTAATAAGGTTCTAGGGAGCTGGCAAGTTTCAACTGGTGGGCAATGGCATTGGGCAAAATTAGTCCTAGAGTTGCAGCAAGTTATCTCAGCAGGGTAGATAAAACTGGTCTCAGGTTACAACAGTTGGTTTCAGCAGTTAGACATGCGGAGAATTACATTCTTGGAGCAATGCTATCTTTCCTGAGTGCTTTTCCCCCTGGCTTTTTGACTTTGTTTTAGTTGGGTATGACAAAAATGACCCAATTCATTTGATCAACTTTCGCAAACATTTCTGCAACTAGCGGCATCCCTGATGTTGGTTTTATTTTGTTCTTCTTGAAAGTGTTACCAGATGGTGCTGTGCAGCTCCAGGCTCTTAGTGTCCTGACCGAAGAATTGGACGAGATACACACAGATAGCAAAGCAGCAAAAGTGTATGACGCATAGTATTACACTCCCAGAGAGGGGAGAGTGGACTGACCTCTGCGAAATGAGATCAACGTCAATTTGGTGTACTTTGAATTCTTTTATATATTTTTTCTCTTCTGTGGCCAAGACTGCCTGATGTCTAGCCAGTGTCTGCCTTTTGATGGACAGGTGGGCTGCTTAGTTATTTAATACTATGGCCCGTGTGCGCTTGTGACTTCTTGCGAGTCACCTCCATCCCATAATTTTAAGTACGTGCATAATATGCAGTCCATATGCATGAACCTTAAGTAGCTAATTACCATACGGGAACATTTTAAGGATATGTTTTCTGTCTAACGTGCATGCTCATCTCTGAGGAGCTGCCCCTGACAGGTTTGGTCCAGATCTAGGCGGCCATGTGGGCTCCTTACTCACTTTTTTAAAATCTCACTTTTGTTTTGGCTGCTCAGCCTCTGCTTCATATCTCACTTCTTGCTCACTCGCCCCTTCACCTTGCTTCTGCTCTCATGCTCTCACTCATTCTTCCTGTATCCAGTCTCTGGTTCCCTCTCTACCATCTCCTGCCTCAAAAGTGCTGCTCAGCATATAATTTCTCTTTGTAAGTTGTGGTTCTTGATTTTGGGAAATGAGTTTCCATCTTGCTGAACTTCTTAACTAGAGAATACTGTTGGGATGTGTCTACATCTATGTGACACTACTGGGATCCCTTGAATCCTATTTAGAGTCTAAAAGAGGGACATTGTTACTTAAAGGCGGTGGCCATTTAGCTGTCCCTCTTAGATTTGGTTCATATAATTTCTGATTTTCATGTCAGATTATAATCTGTAAACTCCTACTCAGGTCACTGCACCACTTTGATGGAATTTCCATTCCCTTTGTCCTCAAGATTTGTCTAAAGATATTTGGCTTTGACAGAATTTTGGGTTCTTCAGTTTTCTTTTTAATTATAAAATATACATACAAATGAACATTAAGCATATGTAGTTGTGTGAGTAATTATAAAACAAACTTAATGTATCACCAAATCAAAGAATAGCTCATTGCCCCAGAAGCAACCCCAGTCCCCTAATAACAACCCCTCCCTTTCTCCCTCTCTCCAGAAATGAGCCATATAATACCTCTTGTGCAAATTACTTTTTTGCTTTTCTCTAGATTTTTTTCCTTTTTTGTAGGCATTCCTGAAGGATATAAGTTGGTTTCGTCTGTTTTGAACTTTCTATAAACAGGGTCTTACCAAAGATAATTTTTTTGTCTTATTTATTTTTCTTAATTTTATGTAGTTGTAGGTTGTTCATTAGTGTGTAATTTTCTACTCTAGGAATTTGCAACAATGGGTGTATTCATTCTAATGATGATGGATATTAGTCTTGTTTCTAGTTTGGGGATATTATGAACAATGTATTTATAATCCTTTCTGCACACATGACCTTGGTAATTCGTGTATCTGGGTGTATACCTTGAAATGCAATGGTGGAGTCATAAGTCATATATTTCAACTTTGCTAGTTCATGCCTGTTTTTCAAAGTGGTTGTACCAGTTTACATTTCTGCCAGCAGTGTACAAGAGTTCCCATTGCTCCACATCCTAACCAACACTTGGTATTGCCAGACTT